>NC_000023.11:33791412-33941769 GCF_000001405.40 Homo sapiens | reverse complement strand
GGAGATAATATTCAAACCTTAGTACTTTCACTTACCTAATTGTTCGAAGTGGGAGCTATGAATGAGGCTTTTATATATGAAATAATTCTCAAGTTTCTTAATGTGATTTTTGTTATTTGATTTAGTGCCTTTCTTCACTGAGTGTAGTGCATAGTGCAAATATTAGTTCTGAGATCTAAATCAAGATATTTCTGCTCTTACAAAATAACGTTATTTTAGTATTTTGATGTCACCCTAAGATTCAATGAGGAAGCATGCTATTAAATTATTTTATTATCAAATATTTGGGGAGATAACTTGGTTCTCAGGAATACTGGAATTATGGAGATATATTATTTGAGGATTTCTGGACAATATCACCTGACATTTAGTTGGACAATATCACTGTGCATCTGGATATTTTGTTGTCTTCCTTCTTCCTAGGGAATGTAGCCTAGCTGATGCTAAGTTTGGCTGGAGAACAGAAACGTTCCAGTTCCTGAAAGTCTCTTAATATTTCAGATCATGGCTATTTTCTTCATTTCTGAATGATACAACAAAAAATAGCTACTCCAGTGAAGTAGGGCATAAGCCTCGGTGGGCATTATGTCACACAATCAAATGCCTTCTTTAGAGATTTTAGGAACCAAGGGCAATTGCAAAAAAGTAATACTTTACTTCTGCTATCTGTGGCTGCCTCAATGCTATAAAAGGCGGTAATCTTAGCTAACTACAATGCTATCTGTCTCTGTATGTGCATGGATGCTTCTGTGCATGTCTGTGTGTGTGCATGTATGTGTATGTGTATGTGTGTTTATGAGGGTCTTTATAATCAATCCAATGTTTTACCAAAAACATTGACATTGTTTTCTGAAAAGGTTAATAAATGTATTGGCAAAACCAAATAATCAACAATGATGATAATTCCAAAATCTAGACATTCTGAAAATCATCTCATACTTGGTGATTTTGAGGGACAAAAAAGAGAAATGTACCATTAAACTTGTTCATTGCTTTTCAGTTCTCACCACTAAAGCAATTAACAATTTGTTACTCCATAATGTGAAGGAAAAAATTACAGAATTATGACAATCTCGTCTAGATTCAAATTTTAAAAGCTTGATGGTCACTAGACTATTAGAAAATAAGTCTGTTAACTATACTGACACCAATATATACTAAGTAAAATTCATGATAAAACAATTGTGTTCACATGTAACTTCATCCAAAGAATTGTAGTGACTGAAAAATTAAAAGGCTATTGTTTATGATACATTTGTTTAACATTTGAATAATCCCTAAGGCATAGGGTGTGACAGAGGTTCCTGTAAAAAAACACTATTAACATATGATAGATAATTTTTTTTTGTTTTTATAAGATCAATATTGTATTTTAACTATTATATTTTACACACTATTTCCCAATTTCATTCATCCAAGGAAATGAAACATGAATACAAAAGTCTAGTACAAGAATGGCAATACAAGAACAGTAGATTTATTCATTTGAGCCTCCAACATGAGGTACATGACATGGTTTAATACAGGCATGCAATGTGAAATAAGCACATCATGGAAAATGAGGTATCTATCCCCTCAAGCATTTATCCTTTCAGTTACAAACAATCCAATTAAAGTCTTTAAGTTATTTTAAAATGTAAAATTCAGTTTTATTATTGACCAAACTTCAAACAGTCCAGTTTGCTCATCAACAAGAGCATGGTAAATAAACTGTAGTATGAATATAGAGAGAAATAATTTTGATTTGATTTTTGTATATGTTGAGAGACAGGGGTCTAGTTTCATTCTTCTGCATAATGATATCCAGTTTTCCCAGCAACATTTTTGAGTACAATGAAATACTACTCAGCAATAAAAAGGAAAAATAAGTTGATAAAATAACAATGTGGATGAATCTCAAAAGCATTATGCTGAGCAAAAGTAGTCAGATACTGTATTATTTCATCCATATAAAATTTTAAAAAGTGAACAATAATACATGCTGTTGAAAAAACAGATCAGTGGTTATGTAGGGATTAGAGAGAGGGAGGGATTTCAAAAAGATCTGAGAAATTTTTTTGTGGGTGAAACAAATTTTCCGTATGTTGATTGAAGTGTTGGATTCCTACATGTATACATACTTATGTCAAAACTTGTAAAATTGTGTGACTTGAATGTGTGTAGTTTATTGCATATAAATTATACCTCATTCATATTGTAAGAAAAATAACATAAATATGGATGTCAAGTAAATAATATGCATATTGAAGAGTTTAGGTGTAAGATTTACTGATGTATGTAACTTCTTTGGAACTGTAATGTAAAAATAAGATAAACTGACAAATTGATGGAAGTATAGATATATATATGGTAAAGAATGTAGAAAAAATTATAATTATAGAATCTAGATGGAAGGTATGTAGGTATCTTAGGCTCTTCCCGCATTGCTATAAAGGAATATCTGAGACTGGGTAATTTATTAAAAAAAGAGGTTTAATTGGCTCACAGTTTCGTGAGCTGTACAAGCATGGCACCGGTATCTGCTTGGCTTCTTGGAAAGCTTCAAGGAGCTTTTTACTCATGGTGAAAGGCAAAGTGGAAGCAAGCATGTCACATAGTGTAAGCAAAAGCAAGAGGTGGTGGGAGATGCCACAAACTTTTAAACAACCACATCTCCTAAGAATTCACTCACTTTGGTGAAGATAACACCAAGCCATGAAGGATCCACCGTTGTGACCCAAACTCCTCTTACCAGGCCCCACCTCCAACATTGGGGATTATAGTTCAACATGAGATTTGGGTGGGGACAAATATCCAAACTATATCAGTGGATTTACTATAAGAATATTTTAGATTTTTCTTTGTGATTGAAAAAAAAAATTTGTTGTAAATGGTTTAAAAACCTAGAATGCCTTATTATTTTTAAATGTTGAAAAAATGTAAAAATTATGGTAAATTTTATGTACGCTATTTCATTAGCTGAAAAAAATCTAGTTTCTTTCATGATGTCAGTTTTGTTAGGTATCGAAAGATTGTTTCTTGATTTACTTGGTAATTCATTTGGTCCAAAAAAAGCATTTAGAAAGATTAAGAATACATCACTGTATACTAAGAGATAACTGGAAAATGTTGACATTTCAAATCCTTACTTTCAAGCACCTCTATATTAACCTCTCTCAAAGAGAATGTATCCATTAATGAAAATGTGCAAAAGGTTAAATCTGGTTATTCCATCAAGATCTGTTCATTGTAATTTCTAGGAACCCAGTGTATTCTGACATCTCTTCAAGCACTACATCTCATTCTCATACAAAGGACTCTACATTTAATGTTCTCCAACACTCTTCTTGACAAATACCAACTACCTTACACAGAATACAACAGCCATTATCTCCAGAACAATCTCTTAGACTGAACTTGGCATACAATAGCCATTAAATACATATTTGTTGAATGGGTAAATAAAATAACATTTTCTTTTATCCTTAGTTATTCCATTGACACACCAATACCACTTGTAATTCAGTGAGAAATTTAATAGGACATTCACAGATATGATGCATATACAGATAAAATTCATTTGGCAAAAAAGATATGTGATTTTAAATAGCCAGTTTTATTAAAGACTTAAATAAAAGACCAGAAACTCTAAAAGTATTAAAAAAAACACAGGAGTAAAATGATACTACATTGATCTGGGCAATAATTTTTTTTGTTTTGATTCGACTCTAAAAGCACAGGCCACAAAAACATAGGCAACTGGGATTACATAATACTAAAAAGCTCTGCACAGCAGAGGAAACAATCAACACTATGCCAAGAAAATCTATTAATTGGGAGAGAATATTTGCAAGCCATACATATGATAATGGGGTAATATAAAAAATATATAAGGAGCTCAAACAACTCAATAGCAAGAAAACTGAAACTCACTTAAAAGTGGGCAAGGGGTACTGATATGGCTTGGCTGTGTCCCCACCCAAATCTCATCTTGAATTGTAGTTCCATAATCCCCATGTGTCAAGGGCAGGACCAGGTAGAAGTAACTGAACCATGGGCATGGTTCCCCACGTTGTTCTCATGATAGTGAGGAAGTTCTCATGAGATCTGATGGTTTTATAAGCATCTGGCATTTACCCTGCTGGCAATCAATCTTTCTCCTGCTGCCCTGTGAAGAGGTGCCTTTCTCCATGATTGTAAGAGCCCTGAGGTGTCCCTAGCCATGCAGAACTGTGAGTTAATTAAACCACTTTTCTTTATAAATTACCCAGTCTTGGGTATTTATTTTTAGCAGTGTGAGAACAGACTAATACAGGTACATATCAACATTTCTCAAATGAAGATATACAAATGGCCAACAGACATGAAAAATGATCAGCATCACTAATCATTAAGGAAATGCAAATTTAAAACACAATGGGATATTGATATGGTTTGGCTTTGTGTCCCCTTCCAAATCTCATCTTGTAGCTCCCATAATTTCGATGTGCTGTGGGAAGGAACTGGTGGGAGATGATTGAATTACAGTGGTGGGTCTTTCCTATGCTGTTCTTGTGATGGTGAATAAGTCTCACGAGATCTGATAGCTTTAAAAAGAGGAGTTCCCCTGTATAAGCTCTTTGTCTGTCTTTGCCTGTTGCCATCCATGTAAAATGTGACTTGCTCCTCCTTGTCTTCCACCATGATTGTGAGGTTTCCCCAGCCATGTGGAACTGTACATCCAATTAAATCTGTTTTTTTTTTTTTTTTTTTTGTAAATTGCCGGGTCTCAGGTGTGTCTTTATCAGCAGCATGAAAATGGACTAACACAGTAAATTGGTATTAGTAGAGTGGGGTGTTGCTGAAAAGATACCTGAAAATGTGGAAGCGACTTTGGAACTGGGTAACAGACAGACGTTGGAACAGTTTGGAGGGCTCAGAAGAAGGCAGGAAAATGTGGGAAAGTTTGGAACTTTCTAGAGACTTGTTGAATGGCTTCGACCAAAAGCTTGATAGCAATATGGACAATAAGATCCAGGTTGAAGTGGTCTCAGATAGAGATGAGGAACTTGTTGGGAACTGGAACACAGTTGACTCTTGTTATGTTTTAGCAAAGAGACTGGTGGCATTTTATCCCTGCCCTAGAGATTTGTGGAACTTTGAACTTAAGAGAGGTGATTTAGGGTATCTAGCAGAAGACAGTTCTAAGCAGCAAAGCATTCAAGAGGTGACTTGGTTGCTGTCAAAGGCATTCAGTTTTATAAGGGAAACAGAGCATAAAAGTTTGGAAAATATGCAGCCTGACAATTTGATAGAAAAGAAAAACCCATTTTCTGAGGAGTAATTCAAGCTGGCTGCAGAAATTTGCATAAGTAACCAGGAGCTGAATGTTAAACCCCAAAACAATAGGCAAAATGTCTCCAGGGTATGTCAGAGGTCTTCAGAGCAGCTCCTCCCATCACAGGCCTGAAGGCCTAGGAAAAAAAGTGGTTTCATGGGCCTGGCCCAGGGTCCCCCTTTTGTGTGCAGCCTAGGGACTTGGTGCCCTGTGCCCCAGCCACTCCACCTGTGGCTGAAAGGGGCCAACATAGAGCTCTGGCCATGGCTTCAGAGGGTTCAAGTCCCAAGCCTTGGCAGCTTCCCCATGGTGTTGAGCCTACAAGTGAACAGAAGTCAAGAACTGAGGCTTGGGAAGCTCCATCTAGATTTGAGAAGAAGTATCCAAATGCCTGGATGTCCAGGCAGAAGCTTGCTGCAGGGGTAGGCCCTCATGAAGAACCTCTGCTAGGGCAATGGCGAAGGGAATTGTGGGGTTGGAGCCCCCACACAGAGTCCCTACTGGGGCACCACCTAGTGGAGCTGTGAGAAGAGGGCCACCATCCTCCAGATCCCAGAATTGTAGATCCACCGACAGCTTGCATTGTGCTCCTGAAAAAGCCATAGACACTGAATGCCAGCCCATGAAGGCAGCCAGGAGGGAGGCTGTATCCTGCAAAGTCACAAATGCGGAGCTTCCAAAGACTATAGGAACCTACCTCTTGCAACAGTGTGACGTGGATGTGAGGCAGCGAGTCAAACCAGATTACTTTTGAGCTTTAAGATTTGACTGCCCCACTGGATTTTGAACTTGCTTAGGCTTGTAGCCCCTTTGTTTTGGCCAATTTATCCCATTTGGAATGGCTGTATTTACTCAATGCCTGTACCTCCATTGAATCTAGGAATTAACTAACTTCCTTTTGATTTTACAGGCTCATAGGTGGAAGGGACTTGCCTTGTCTCAGATGAGACTTTGGACTTTTTAGTTAATGCTGATATAAGCTGAGACTTTGGGGGACTGTTGGGAAGGCATGAGTGGTTTTGAAATGTGAAGATATGAGATTTGGGAGGTGCCAGGGGTGGAATAATATGGTTTGACTCTGCGTCCCCATCCAAATCTCATCTTGTAGCTCCCATAATTCCCATGTGTGGTGGGAGAGACCTGGTGGAAGATGATTAAATTATGGGGACAGGTCTTTCCTGTTCTGTTCTCATGATAGTGAATATGTCTCACAAGATCTGATGTTTTTTAAAAATGGAACTCCCCTGCATTAAGCTCCCTCTCTCTCTTTGCCTGCTGCCATACATGTAAGCTGCTGACTTGCTCTTCCTTTTCTTCCTCCATGATTGTGAGTCTTCCTTAGCCATGTGGAACTGTAAGTCCAGTTAAACCTCTTTCTTTTGTAAATTGCCCAGTCTCAGGTGTGTCTTTATCAGCAGCATGAAAACAGACTAATACAGATATCATCTCATGCCTGTGAGAATGTATATTATAAAAAACATGAATGATAATAAATGTTGGCGAGGATATGCAGAAAAGGGAACCCTTGTACACCATTGGTGGGAATGTAATTTAGTAAAGTCATTATGGAAAACTATAATAGTTTCTTAAAAAGTTAGAAATACAATTACCATATAATCCACCAGCCCCAGTTCTGGGTAATTACTCAAAAATATTTAAAAACAATTTGTCAAAGAGACATCTACACTACCATGTTCATTACAGCATTATTCACAATAGCTATGTTATAGAATCAACTTAATTGTTCATCAGCAGATGAATAAAGAAAATTTAGTATAAATACACAATGTAATACCATTCAGCCTTAAACATTAAAAACAAAATTGTCATTTGTAACAGCATGGAAGGAATTGGAGAACAATAGGTTAAGTGAAATAAGCCAGGCACAGAAATAAAAAAATACTGCATGTATGGAATCTAAAACAATAAAACTGACAGAGGCAGAGAATTGAATGGTTTACAGAAGCTGGGGTTGAGGGGAATAGGAAGATGATATCCAAAGGACATTGAATCTTAGTAGAACAGGAAGGATATAGGGTTCTTTTTGAGATTTATTGCACAGTATGGAGAATATAGTTAATAATACAGTATGGAGAATATAGTTAATTTTCAACATTGCTGAGAAAGTAAATTTCACATGTTCTTACAACAATAAAATTTAAGTATTTGAGGTAACGAGTATGTTAGCTAGCATGATTTCATTATTCCATACTGTGTTCATAAATTTTAACATCATTTTGTGCCCCCAAAATGTATACAATTATAAATTGTCAATTCCCAGGTTTTTAAAAGAACCAAATATTGAATTGACCACCATTTCATTTCTGTAATCAAGCTTCTGCCAAGTTAAATTGAGACAAGTAATATATGAGAAAGATAATCAAATAGCAAGACTAAAAAGTCATTGAACTATGTGTACTAAGCTCTTTTTCAATATCAAGTCACAAGACCTGTAATGATTTAAATTTCTATAATAATACTTAAATGGAATAATGGTTTAATAGTTTGATTTGTATCAAGAGTAAATATAAGAACATTTGAAGGTATCTATGATTAATTATGTACATTTATGCAACTCACATAAAACTACTGTTAAAAACATTAGCGGTTTGCTTTGTACAAAGATCATAATAAGAAGTCTTAGAATTAATTACAGGAAAAAATTTCTATCCTGAAAACATAAATATTCTCAGGTTTCTTTATCTGTTATTTCTTCAAGAAAGTTCAGACCTAAATTTAATTTCACAATGATGATTTTGATTCTAATTATAATCATAGGCTTCATATCTACATACACCTAAACATACACAAAAATACAGATATGTGTGGGTATTTTTATGTATGTATATGTTTATATATGTATGTATACACATATACTTTTTCCCTAGATGTTTCTGCTGAAAGACTAGAAGCAACATCTCCCCAATAACAATCAGCATACCTACTCCTCAAATCTTAGTTTGTAAAGGCATTTTCTACTAAAAGGAACTGGGGGTATTTAAAAAGGGTAGCTGATACCAAGGCTGGAGGAGGGACAATTACAAGAATCTAAAATATCTTTTTGCCAAAAAGTAAAAAAGTACTCAACTAATGATACTGACATGTTAAAATAACAAAGAACATATTAAAAACAGCATATTTTGTCCAAATCTGGGACAATAAGAACATCAAAATAAATAATAATATGAACTAACAATATTAAAACATTATAACCTATTAAATAATCCATCAGTCTACACAGAAACAAACAACAAGTTGGAATATCCTTACACATAGTAGAAAGCCAACTGATAAGAAGAAATGATAGAATTAAAAAGTACCCCTTAGCAACTGCCAAAGTTTGAATGCATCTCTAAATTTCATATGTTGGAAACTTAATCCCCTGTGCAACAGTGTTGCCAGATTGAACCTTTAAGAGAATTAGGTCATGAGGGCTCTGCTCTTGTGAATGGATTATTACCATTTACCGGGAAGTAGGTTGCTTACAAAAAAATGGGCTTGGTCCCCTTCCCTCTCCCTCACCCACTTGATACCTTTCACCATGGGATAACACAGGAAAAAAGTGGCCCCTCAACCTTGGACTTCCAGCCTCTAGAACACATGAGCCAAATAGATTTCTGCTTGTTGTAAATTACCCAGTCTGTGGTATTCTGGCATAGCTGCATACAATGGGCTATGACAGCAATCATCATGGTAATAAATAATTCAGGCAGGAATCATCAATGGATTCTAAATCTCTTAGGTAAAAACTTAAGAAATAACAATGTATTTACATGGTCTCAAATTATCACCTTACAAATACTTTTTAATTACTAAGGGGGAAAAATAGTAACTTTATAGTGGAGTAACCTGGAAGACAACATTTTACCAAGATGATCAAAGATAAGATTATCAGTAATGCATGTACCTCTGGATACAATAACTTAGCATAACTCCTGTGGTATTCCTGCCACAATTGTATGACCTGAATCTCATCCTATGGAAACATAAATAAAAAATTTGAAAAAAATATTTAAAAAAAACTCAAGTTGGATAGTCTATGCTATAGGCTAAATGTATGTCCTGATCCCAAATGTGATGATATTTGGAGGTGGGGCCTTTGATAAGTCATTAACTAGATCATGAGGGTAGTGTACTTACAAAAGAGATCCCAAAAGACTCTCTTTCCCTTTCCACCAAGTAAGGACACAGTGAGAAAACAGCCCTTTATGAACCAGAAAGCTAGCTTTCACCAGACACCAAATCTGTCGGTGCCTAGATTATGGAACTTTCCAGCATCCAGGACTGTGAGAAATAAATTTCTGTTTTTCATAAACCACCCAGTCTATGGCAGTTTCTTACAGAAGCTCAAGTGGACTAAGACAGTCTACAAAACAATTGGTCTGTGCAATTCAAAAACATCAATGTCAAGAAATACAATAAAGGATCCAGAAACTGTTCCAGTTTAAAAAATATTAAAAAGGCATGGCAACTGAAAATAAAACAAAATTACCCAATTTTATGTTTGTTTCTTGTATCTACTTCTTACTGGATATGTGGTCTTGATTAAGATGCATAATTCCTTCTGAACTTCAATTTTTCTGTAAAATGTGAATAAAATCTTATAGACTGGTTATGTGAATCAAGTAGAATATGTAATAATTAGCTTTATTAAGTAAAAACAAAAGTCTGTGAGGGATATGGTTCACCATGCTTCATTCTGGGAATCAAAATCTTGATTAAAAGTTAATAAAGGATCATCCAATCCAGTTATCTATTTCAAACAATATTTGGATGGCATGCTTAAGTAGGAGATTTATAAAGAAAAAAAGGTATTTGTTGGGACTAGCAGAACCTTCATCAAAGATTAATAGCATAATCTAGCCTTACAAATGGCAAGAGTGAACACCTTACAGTGAAGGTTTTATCTAACTTTGCCATTACCCCTCACTAAAGAGCAATGGAAAATCCTTGACCTAATATTACTACAAGTAGCGATTCTTTTATGATAGTCTTTATTCCTTTTTCTTCTGTTGATGAATCTACTTCAAGAATATTCTTGTTCTGGTCTATTCTGCCCTTTGTTAACAAGGGATTATTCTTGATGTGACTTTTCGTTTTGTGTGCCTCTATAAATGCTTTTCTATTTTAATAACTTGGTGGCTTATGTACGTGTGTTATATTTACTTACTCACTACAACAAAACACATTCTTCACATGTTGTGCCATCTGAAATAACTTTAACAATTATTTAATAAGAAAGGCTATTTCTTTATTGTGGTTGAAAATCAAACATATAGTCCCTTCAGGCTGAAAAACAAACACCATCACATATTTGCTAAAAAAGCAGTAACTCTATCCCTAGATATAGCAGCTAAACTTTTATTTCTGTTTAACTACTTCTCACTGAATATCATTTAGGTAGCTATAAATTAAAAGAACCTAGCAGAGTACATATTAAACAGAAAATGGTCAATAAATATTGTCTTTCTCTCCTTCTGCCTGCCACCACCGTGACTCAGTATACTAGATATAAAATAGGGCTTTATAGTCCACATGAAATAAAGGACAACAGACCTGTAATAAAAAATACATGCTCATAAAAACAAAATGTAGAAGATAAATTATTATGAAATATTAAAAATAGCAACAGCTGGGTGCAGTGGCTCAAGCCTATAATCCCAGTACTTTGGGAGGCAGAGGCAGGAGGATTGCTTGAGCCTAAGAGTTCAAAACCAGCTTGGGCAACATATTGAGACTTCGTCTCTACAAAAAAAAATCAAAAAATGAGGTGGGAGGATCACTTGAGCCCAGGAAGTGGAGGCTGCAGTGAGCCATGATCATGCCACTGCACTCCCACTTGGGTGACAGGGCGAGACCCTGCCACACACACACACACACACACACACACACACACACACACACACACACACAAAGCATAAATAAAATAAAAATAGCAATAGCAGAAGTTTCTTAATAATTACTTACAACTATATTCAAAAGAACCATGTATCTTAGTTCTAATTACACTTCAAGCAAGACTCAAGGTCTATAGCATTTCAAAGGTCTCTTTTCAGTCTGAACATCCTTGATCACGGCACAGAGTAATCTTTCTAAAATGCAAATCTTATCATTTCCTTCATCTCTTTGAAATTCCTCAATGGAGATTTAAAAATCTCTTTGGCCTAGAGCAGTCATCCCCACCCTTTTTGGAACCAGGAACTGGTTTCGTGGAAGACACTTTTTCCGTGGGACGGGAGGTGGGGGATTGTTTCAGGATGAAACTGTTCCACCTCAGATCATCAGGAATTAGTTACATTCTCTTAAGGGGCACAGAATCTAGATCCCTCACAAATGCAGTTCACAATAAGGTTCGCACTCCTTTGAAAATCGAATGCCGCTGCTGATCTGACAGGAGGCAGAGTGTAGGCGGTAATGCTAGCTTACCTACTGCTCACCTCCTGTTGTATGGCCCAGTTCCTAACAGGCCATGAACTGCTACTGGTCCGCAGCCCAGGGACTGGGGACCCTTGGCCTAGAGGATAAAATCTAATAGATTTCAAGTGAAAAGAATTCCTTGATGATATAGAAATTTCCTAATTCTCCAGCCTTATCTCATCATTGATCCTTCAAATTCATCTATAATGACTTATATTGTTCAGTATTTTCATGTTTAAAACAATTTTTTATTGCTAGATATATACACTCACACCAATATCCTGGCCCAAGCCTGGAATTTTTTTTACTCATCTTTCAAGACTCATGACTCCACCTGAAAACAATTTGTCACAGATGAGAGTCTATTCTCACCATTATACTTCCCATTTACAATATGAATTGTTCACCTTATAACATAACACAAAAACAGCTAATGGAATTGGTGTGGTAGCAAATTGTGACCACTGCTTTGGACTCATACAAGTATTGGGACTAAGAAGTTTAGAAGTGGTTTCCCTTCTAAACAGTTATAACCACCACCAACATGTGTAGTCTGGATATTCAAGATCCTGCCCTCTGTTTTAGGAGCCTCAAGACCATATATTACTGAAAGAGATTTGTCATTATAAGCAGATAAAGTGGACTGAACAAGTCAATCACAGGTAGTTCTGATTTAATCTGGAAAATCTTTTGGGGATTCAGAGAGCTGTCATGATTGCCTCTCAACAGTGACAAAAACAATGACAGCAGCTACTCATCATAGGCAAGCCTCACTCAAAGGCCTGTGATAACATATTATCTCTGTGTTAGTCTGTTTCTGCTGCTATAAGAAAATACCACAGATAAAATAATTCAAAAATAATAAAAATTTACTTCTCAATAATTACTTAAAAGTATATTCAAAGCTGGTACAAGATCAAGGTGCCAGAAGATTTGGTGTCTGTTAAGGGCTCACTCTCTACTTTCAAGTTGGCATCTTGTTGCTGTATCCTCCAATGAGGGTGGACACTATATCCTCATATGGTCAAAGAAGAAAAAAAGGGCAAAAAAGGACTAGGTCACTCCCTTCAGTCTCTTTTATGAGTTTACTAATCCCATTCATGAGGGCTCTTCACTCCTGACTTAATCACATCCTAATGGCCTTACTTTCTTAATACTATCACATTGGTAGTTAAGTTTCGACACTGTGAATGTTAGGGGACGCATTCAGACCAGAGCACTCTGTAGGCACCAACTCCCATTTATCCAACTTTCTGGTGCTATAAACAAGAGTGCTTAATAGTCTAAGCAAGAGTGTTCAACAGTCTCTTTGTACTGAATCTCCTATCCCACTCCTCCTCCATTAGATGCGATTCCTTCCTTGTCAGTTTCTATAGTCCTACTTACCCTTGCTGCATCAACTACTCCTGTCTTCCTCAGCCCAGGTACTCTCCTCCAGTCTTTCCTAAAGATTACCTAGTCTACGTGTCTATTGATTCTCTTCCCCAATTCTTTGAAATGGAATAAACTCAAAATTTTTCATGTACAGGCTTTTGATTGTCAAATACCTTTGATCTAAACAAACCTATATAAAAAAAGAAAATTTTGGCTTCCGAAACTGTTGTGTCTAATCAAGGTATATTTTGGAAAGTAAAAACTAATAAATTATGGAAATCTTAATTTTTTATGCAATTTATTTTTTCTAAGTAGGAGAGAAGTTCATACATCTGGAAGAGCAGGAATAAAAATGGGCCAAAAAATTAATATTTCAAGTTATCTTGCTAGTTGGCTGTTAGTTTACATATGTTATGAAGCAATCAACCAAATAATTACTGTATTTTCTTTTACAAAAACAAAACACCAATTTTTTAAAAGATATAATAAACACATTGTATTTTTCTTTTTTAATTTTTTAATTTTTGATTTTTTAATTCTTGTGGGTACATAAATGCAATGTGAAATAAGCAAAACATGGAGAATGGAGTATCCATCTCTAGGATTTATCCTTCGATTTACAAACAATCCAATTATACTCTCTGAATTATTTTAAAATGTACAATTAAGTTATTATTAATTTTAGTCACCCTGTTGTACTATCAAATACTAGGTCTTATTCATTCTTTCAATTTTTTTTTGTACCCATTAACCATCCCCACTTTCTCCCACAGCCCTCATTACCCTTCCCAGCCTCTGGTAACCATCCCTCTACTCTCTATGCTCATGAGTTCAGTTGTTTTGATTTTTACATCTCACAAATATGTGAGAACATGCGATGTTTATCTTTCTGTGCCTGGCTTATTTCACTTAACCTAATTATTTCCAGTTTCATCAATGTTGTATTTTTCTCTGATAAACTTCAAAGTGAAAATATCTACTTGGTAGTTCCATTTTTAGCTTTTTGAGAAAACTTCATATTTTTTCATAATGACTGTACTAATTTACATTAACACTAATAGTGCACAGGGTTTCCTTTTCTTCTCATCCTCACCAACGCTTGTTATCTTTCATCTTTCTATACTAGCCATTCTAACTGGGGTATGATTATATCTCATGGTGGTTTTCATTTGCATTTTCCTAATGCAAAGTGGTGTTGAGCACTTTTTTCCTTTTTATTTGAGACTGAGTCTTGCTGTCACTCAGGCTGGAGTGCAGTGGTGCAATAACAGCTCACTGCCACCTTGAATTCCTGGGCTCAAGGGATCCTCTTGCCGTAACTTCCTGAGTATCTGAGACTATAGGCATGTGCCACCATGCCTGACTAGTTTTCTAATTTTTGTAGAGACAGAGTCTCACCATGTTGCCCAGGCTGGTCTTGAACTCCTGGGCTCAAGTGATTCTCTCACTTTGGTCTCCCAAAGTGCTGGAATTGTAGGTGTGAGCCACTGTGCCTGGCACTGTTTCTTATACCTATTGGCCATATATATATGTCTTCTTTAGAAAAAAAATTGCTAAGATTGCATGTCCCAAGTATTCTCAACACAAGAAAAAAAATACAACCACGAATGTTAATTCACATTAACTGTACTGTAGTAATGAGTTCACCATGTATATGTATATCAAAATATCACACTGTACATTTTAAATATATACAATTTCATTTAAATTTAAAAAACTAAAAGATAAAAAGAATAAAACTCCACTCAGTTTCTTTCAACTTTTCCTTGTTATCAGGGGAACCAGCCCCCAATATTTCAAGGTAGGTTCTTTCCTATTTTCCCTAAGTGTTGGCTGGTCTGAGAAATAAAGGGAAAGAGTACAAAAGAGAGAAATTTTAAAGCTGGGTGTCCGGGGGAGACGTCACATGTCGGCAGGTTCCGTGATGCCCCCTGAGCCCCAAAACCAGCAAGTTTTTATTAGCGATTTTCAAAGGGGAGGGAGTGTACAAATAGGGTGTGGGTCACAGAGATCACATGCTTCAAAGGCAATAAAATATCACAAGGCAAATGGGCAGGGCGAGGTCACAAGGCCAGGGCGAAACTAGAACTACTGATGAAGTTTCATGTCCCACTGTGCACACACTGTCATTGATAAACATCTTAACAGGAAACAGGGTTCAAGAGCAGAGAACCAGTCTGACTAGAATTCGCCAGGCTGGAATTTCCTAATCCTAGCAAGCCTGGAGGTGCTGCAGGAGACCAGGGCGTGTTTCATCCCTATCTACCACTGCATAAGGCAGACACTCCCAGAGTGGCCATTTTAGAGGCCACCCCCTGGGAATGCATTCTTTTCCCAGGGCTGTTAATTATTAATATTCCTTACTGGGGAAAGAATTCAGCGATATTTCTCTTACCCATTTTCAGCAATAAGAGAAATATGACTCTGTCCTGCCCCGGCTCCCAGGCAGTCAGACCTAATAGTTATCTCCCTTGTTCCCTGAACATCGCTGTTATCCTGTTCTTTTTTCAAGGTGCCCAGATTTCACATTGTTCAAACACACATGCTTTATGAACAATTTGTGCAGTTAACGCAATCATCACAGGTTCCTGAGGGGACATACATCCGCAGCTTATGAAGATGACGGGATTAAGAGATTAAAGTAATCAGGCACAGGAAATTGTAAGAGTATTGATTGGGGAAGTGATAAATGTCCATGAAATCTTCACAATTTATGTTCAGAGACTGCAGTAAAGACAGGCATAAGAAATTATAAAAGTATTAATTTGGGGAACTAATAAATGTCCATGAAATCTTCACAATTTATGTTCTTCTGCCATGGCTTCAGCCAGTCCCTCCGTTCAGGGTCCCTGACTTCCCACAACATCTTGTGATTTTGTTAAACTTTATTTCAATGATACAGTGCGTGGATGGCTCCTCTTATTGTTACTCTCGCATAAAGTGATGCCTTCAAACCCCCTACTCGTCTCCATGTCTAGACAGGTCTTACATGTAGATGGGATCTATTAACATTACTCCTGTGGAGTAAACTCCTGGAGTTTATCTCCAGGAGTACAGACAGAGAGATAATTATCATCAGCAAAAATTTATTAAGTCCAATCACGTAATTCATTTTAGATAGAACTTTAAGGGGTTAAACAATGGAAAAAATGAAATATTTGGTGATAATTATGTTTGGATCCAAATAAATAGACAATAATTGAATAAAAGAAATAGAGCCTCTTAAACCCCTTAATATTATTGTAAAATTACTAATTTGTAATAAAACTGATCATTTTTAAACTGATGATTAAAAAAAACTAAGGCTGGGTGCAGTGGCTCATGCCTGTAATTGTGTATATCAATACACAATTTGCAACATTATAAAGATTCTAAAATTAGTCATGTTACCATTTATTTCATATTAACAAATGTAAATTTGTTTACAAAAGTTTATAGAACATGTCTAGTACATTGTTTTTATTTTATGCTAGCATTTAAAAGATGAAGACAAATAATATTTAAAACATCCTCATTTGCACAGAAAAAATTATAAGATTCTATTTATTACCCACCTTACATTTCCCAACTTTGCTATTAATAAAATTTTGAAAAAATCAATTAAACCTATACATTTTGCTTAAGTTAAAACTTCAGCTGCCACTAACATTGTTTTGCTTCAGAGTCACAGTGTTAATGTCAAGATAAATTACATATAATAGCTAAATTTTATGAAAGTAAACAATTTTTTAAATATTTCTTTTATACTAATTTCATAGGTTACAGGAAAATAGGTTTTTTTAACATTGATTTTTAGGTCTTTTGAAGAATCTCTCCATTTCTAAAATCATGATTGGGCTGACAATACTCAAATACATTTTGTTACAGGTAGTTAGACAGGAGAGGGCTCCACCCACCTACCAGGAATATCAGGTGATGATTTGACAATTATTACATTGGTTCTCTAAAAATGATAATTGGCATCTGGCTCCAAGGAGAGGCCATTTCCTGATGGTCCACACCTGTTGCCCTAAAGTGTTAATTGAATGTAGACTCCAGGAATAAGTAACTTCCTGGGCATGTGCATTAAGAGGCAAAATGGCAGAGAATCGTCTTCTGTTGGGCACTCCACTAGAAAAGGGAAAAAGCCTCAGATAGCCATGCACACAACTTCCTAAACACACAGTGCGTGCTGACTTTCAAACAGTAAGGAGGGCACTGAGCATGCAGACAGCCCACCCTACGTGAAGAATCATGGGAAAGGGGTGCAAAACACCAGAGATGGGTCAGCCTATAAAGTCCTAGGATCATGGTTCAACACTGCACTTGTCCTTCAAGTCACCTGCTTGGGTATCTTCCAAGCATACTTTCCTTTCTTTCCTGTTTGAAAGCCTTTTAAAATAAACTTTCACTCCTGCTCTGAAACTTGCTTTGGTCTCTTTTGGAGAATATGTTCCTCAAATTCTTTCTCCTGAGGAGGGAAGAATTGAGATTGCTGCTGACCTATACAGATTCACCACTGGTAACACAGATACCTTCCACTGGTAACATATTTGATGCCAAGTGACTCAGATATTGATATTTGCCACCACTAACATATTTGGTGCCACGTGACTCAGATATGTTCCTTAGTGGTAAGATATCTCTATGCCTCGTCTTCTTTGGCTGGAGGCATCCAACTCCGTGTGTGGTTTTTCCTCTCTCTCTCTCTCTCTCTCCTGCTTACTAACCAACCCCCAGAACAATTCCTCTTGGCCTTAGGTGACGATGCTTTCCCCAGCAAATTTCTCAGCTCACCCTTATAGGTGGCTCCTGTGGGTAGGAAAGACCTTAGGGTTCACAATGAGAAGATTAGAGGCACTAAATGGCCCTCTTAGACAGGAGGGTCCTGAGAGTGGTGAGGCTAAGGCTTACAAACTATGCAATGTCTGGGGATGCTTCTGCTTTTATTTCTTCCATCTAAAATCAGCTCTTTTCCAAAAACCTGAACTGCTCAATTTCCTGTTTTCTCTGTATGTGTGTTCTGAAATGGCTTTGGACATCCACTGGACCTTCCACCTTGGGGACAAGCCTGCTTCTTTGCTTTTACTTTGCATGCCATGTGACTTCTTAAATACACACTCCCTGTTATTGATGCCCCCATGGTTCTCTGCGTTTGTGCAGCAGCAAAGTCATGGACTCCCTTGCGAATACCTCTGGAGGTTTATATTTGTTTTTTGCCAGTTCAGATGACCTTCAATCCTTCCCATCCCTGCTGGCACATGGCCAGGACACTAACTGGAACCTCAGCTCTGCCAGCTTCTTAGAACTCACCAGGTGCTTTTCATTGCTGTTATGCCCAAGGGCTAAGTTTTCTGATAGCTATCATAACAAGCTTGTCTGGCTGCATGTGGCTTCACTCTGGCCCTTTAAGGATTCCACCCTCTTGCCTTTTTAGCCAGCACGACTTTGGGAAGAGGAGAAATTCTTACCCCAAGCCCCAAGTCCTCCGGAGGTTACTGCTTTATGTCCAGAGGGTGAATACACATGACCCTCTGGAATCCAAGAGCAGCTATTTTCAAGAGCATATGAAGCCTTTCCATGAATATTTCTCTCACTTCCTTCTACTTCCTCCTGCAGCCTCCATTTCTCTAATTACTTCCATGCCCTTCTCAACCTGTATCAAGATCTTCAAGGTCATATTCTAAGGGAGGAGGGAAAGAAGTCCAGTCCTTGCAGCAGTTAATGGAGAAACATTCTTCTAAGAAAAGGGATAATCATTTTATTCGTAAAATGCTCTGAGTGAGGGTCACTCTAAGGTTATGGAGACAAGGAGGCTGGCCCAAGGCCACAGATGCAAGAGACCCATAGAACAGAGATGAAGGGTGGTCCCAGGCTAACAGATTACCATGAGAACAGAGATGAAAGGCTGGGGGGTGGTACACAGTGAGGACCACTTAATTCTGAAACTCCAGGAATGAACAGGGACCAACTGTTCATTCCAATATCTCCTCTGTTCTCAAGTGGGTAATTGTGACAAGATGGGACCAATGGTACATGGTAAAGACTGCTTAAGTCCAGAACCCAGGATGATGGGGGACACCCCATTTGGGATAATAGGAAGAAAGGGGAGATGCCTTCTTTTTTCTTTTTCCTCTTTTTTTCCCCTCTGTTCCCTCTTCACAAATGGCAGATGAGTAACTGTGTCTTCATACCACAGGACACACCCCTTGGATGCATTCCCTAAAAATGGGAAAAGTTTAATTTTCCCTAACCTTAAACTGTTTGGCTTAAAAATGAACTGGTAGGAAATTACAAAAGTCAGCCTTGCAACACAGTGCTCCTGTGCAGGGGGTCTTCAGATTAGGTTCTTTAGTCTTTTATAACCGAGAGCAGAATAAGGAGGACAGGGATAAACCTGTTGGGTGAGGCAAATAGCATCCCCTCCCTCAAAAAGAGATTCACACCCCTTTATATCACTTAAGGGACCAATTACCATTCTCTCAACAGTGCCTTGTAAGGTCTGGCTACCCCTCACCTCTTTGGTGCAAAAATGTACCCTCCAAGATGGGTGTTCACTTAATATTTGTCCAATTCATCTTCCTCTCTAATAGCCCTAGCAAAAATCTAACCAAGTAATCACTTGAGGAGAGCTAAATTCTACAGTATGTAGATAATGTCTTTACTCTCCCTTCACAGGGCCTGCATAGCAATGTGCAGTACAAACTTTAATTTTTTAACAGAAGGAAAATGACTTTTGCCTAATTCAAAGGTTATAAAGGCAAAGAGGTATTTTTGGTAGAGAGGTTATAAAGAAAAGAGATTTTATATAAGAAGGAATCTTATTGTCCTAAAGTAAAATGACTGGTTGTTTAAAAAGAGGGATATTTAGGACAAATCAGAATGTCCGAGCATGTCAAAGATGGTCAGTGTAAGCCGTGAAAGGATTCATGAAAGGTAATTTATACAATAAATGTTATACAATTTAATTGTTATTAGACCTCCTCAATGCTTCACTATGAATCTTAACTATACAACTTGCCTGCTTTACAGGTAGGTAAGACCTGGGGATATGTGGAGTTAGCCACACCCCTAGCTATTCTCAAAAGAGTCAGATCTTATCTGTACCTCTTATCTGCTCCAAACCAAGCACATAATTAAAATTGCTTACTAACTAGGTTTTTCACCAAAAGTTGCTAAGAGTTCTTTCTCTGAGCTGTATTCATATAAATATGTTATTGGTATGTGCTCCAAAACTATGGAATTCTAATACAACTTAGTATATGTTATTAATAATTAAAATTGTTATGTAAAACTGTTGTGTGCCACAGAGGTAACACATTTCTTTGTCAATTGTTTCTTTAACTGTGGCTGCCCTAAGACTCTTGGTCATTCATAGACAATTGTTGTCTTGTTTTAATCCTCTTTAAATGGTGGTTTTATAATCAGCTATACAACATTAACAGGTGTTCTTAAATGCAGATTTCTGATAACTTTGGAGATTGTGACATTAGAATAAAAGAAAAATCCTTCATGACTCTCATGGAGAGCTAAAATGTTCATGAATATAAAGCAGAATAGCAGTTAACTGAATGAAGTGAATTAACAGAAGACTGAAGTAATCTTTTTTGACTTTTTGTTTAAAATGTTGCTGATCCTTTGCTTTGTTTTTCAGAGTCAAGGAAACTTTTCTTTTGAGCAATTGACAGATTGTAGCAATTGAGTACAGGATATTCCTGTGAACAAAATTTGTTGCATATTTGCTTCTCTCTACCTGATTTCTCTATAATTTGGAAACTATGTGTGAGTATTCTTAACTTACGGCAATATGGTTATTTGCATAAGTGCATGAGAATGTTTTCTTTTGTAACAGGACAATTGGAGAAAAGGGTTGTCTTACCAAGGCTTTCACTGGAATGGCATGCTTTCCTTTAAGGAATCAAATTTGACTTATAGAGCCAATAAAAACCCCTTGGGAAACCTGGCTTCATACCTTGTCTACACAGTCCTGTACAGAGTTGCTGACCTGTGGTAAGTAAAGAATGTCACTTTCTAACAGATCAGGAGGTCAAAGTTATTTTGGGACCTCAAGAGAAGAGAAATTTACCCCACTAGGTATTTGATGGTACAAATCCATGGCCGGCCTGGGGTTTAAAAAAGTCTTATCTGAGATTCCTTCTATGGAACAAAGTTCCATCAAAGCCAAGTTAAAAGCCTATGTGAAAAATAACTATTCTTGTTGCACTTTATGATAATAATGAGGCCAAGTATAATAAGACTAAAGTTTATTTTTTGGACAAATCAATCCTATCATGATTTGTTTTTAACAAAAATGAGGACTAGAGAGACAGAAATTATGTTTCAAAAGTTATGGTACACCTATCATTAGATTCTAGTCTCATCAGTTGTTTTTAAGTTTTTGTCTGCATTTTAGAACAACCCTGCTTATTCCTGTGAACCAACCAGTGATCTCTTGCTGCAGCTCAGAAGAAATAAACAGGATGGGTAATGTAAAAATCTAGATAATATTCTAATTACGGGCACACATTGGAATTGGCTAGCAGCTCAATGCATCCAAGTTTTAGCAGGCATGTCTATAGCTACCAGTTACCTTAGCATGTAGTGTTGACTGCCTCAGGATTTTTTGGAGCTGTTTTCACTACCTTATTTCATTTTAACATTCTTCTAATTATAATAACCTAATTTGTCTCCTCTGCTTTAGGCCATCATGCTCCAGAAGATTCTCAGTGAGGGATACTGTCCTCTAAATTTTCAAGAGGCACCCTTCTACAGGGGACCCCTAGGCTGCCCATCAGTGGGACAGGAAGGATGTGAAATCCTGCCCATCTCCCTTTGACCTGGCTATACACTGCTTTCACCAACACACAGAGTCACCCTCCTGCCCTCACAGCTAGCAAGAGGCCAAGACCCAGAGAATCACCACCACTTTGTCAGTGGGAGGTAGTTATAGAACACTGACCACCAAGTTTACCCCAAAGATGTGGGGTATTGGGCTCTTGACAGGGGGAATGTTACAGACAGTTAGATAGGCATGAGTAGGGCAGAGGAAGGCTTCCCCCACCCACCAGGAAAATCAGGTGATGGTTCGACAATTATCACATTGCCTCTCTGAAAATGATAATTGGCAGCTGGTGCCAGGGGAAGGCCAGTTCCTGATGGTCCACACCTGTTGCACTTAAGTGTTAATTGAATGCAGGCTCCAGGGAGAAACAACTTCCTGGGCATGTGCATTAAGAGACAAAATGGGCCAGGCGCAGTGGCTGGCGCCTGTAATCCCAGCACATTGGGAGGCTGAGGCGCGCAGATCATGAGGTCAGGAGATCGAGACCATCCTGGCCAACATGGTGAGACCCCCCCGTCTCCACTGAAAATACAAAAATTAGCTGGGTGTGATGGCACACACTTGTAATCCCAGATACTTGAGAGGCTGAGGCAGGAGAATCACTTGAAACCAGGAGGCAGAGATTGCAGTGAGCTAAGATCACGCCATTGCACTCCAGCCTGGCAACAGAGCGAGATTCTGTCTCAAAAAAAAAGAAAGAAAGAAAAGAAAAGAAAAGAAAAGAAAAGAAAGAAAGAAAGAAAGAAAGAAAGAAAGAAAGAAAGAAAGAAAGAAAGAAAGAAAGGAAAGAAAGAAAGAAAGAAAGAAAGAAAGAAAGAAAGAAAGAAAGAAAGAAAGAAAGAAAGAAAGAAAGAAAGAAAAGACAAAGAAAAAGAGAGAAAATGGTAGCGTATGATCTTCTGGTGGCACTCCCCTGGAAAAGGGAAGAAAGTCTCCGATGGGCATGTGCACAACTTCCTAAATACACTGTGTGTGCTCACTTCCAAAGGATAAGGAGGGCACTGCACGTGCAGGCAGCCCAGCCTAAGGAAAGAATCATGGGAAAGAGGCACAAAATGCCAGAGTTGGGCCACCCTATAAAGTCCTAGGATCAAGGTTCAGCACTGCGCTTGTCCTTCAAGTTGCCCACTTGGTTTTCTTCCCAGCATAATTTTTTTCTTTCCTGTTCTAAATCCTTTTTAAATAAACTTTCATTACTGCTCTGAAATTTGCCTTGGTCTCTTTTTCTGCCTTGTGCTCCTCAGTCAAATTCTTTCTTCTGAGGAGGCAAGAATTGTTGCTGTAGACTCGTACAGATTCACTGCCAGTAACTTGGATACCTTCTACCAGAAACAATTTGAGATATCATGTTTAATAACTATAATGCTTCTTTTCCTCCAGTCCATTAACTCTATGTAATTAATATTACTTATTATATAGGTATTTCAATTATTTTTTGTGTTTATTCTAGGAAAACTTTTAACACAGCAATTATGGCTCTATGATGCTTGTTTCTTCAGATAGTTCAGGTTATTGTGCTTTATCTTATCAAAAATGCAATACTGTCACTAAAAGGCAAATCATTTTATTAGAAAGACTAACATATCAAAATGGTAAAAAAAAAAAAAAAAAGTTGAGAGAACTTATAAAAGCCCAATATAAAAAAACATACTGTTTCTGGAACCCTACTCTTTTGACTCAAAACTTAGGTAACCTTTCATACCAGCACACGATGTGCTACCACTATGAACATATTTTTCATTCATTTTACAGGCCAACAATTTGAAATCCATTAAATTCCTCCAGATTTATAAAAATTTAGTCTAGCAATGATGCTTCTATCAGTCAGCTTAATATTGCTATAAAGCAAACTAACCCAAAACTCAGTGGAATGTAAGAATAATCATTTATATCTCACTTACGCATCTGCAGTTTTTCTGGGGGTCATCTGATCACCAACACGTGCCTTTTCTGTGTAAGGATTAAGCAAAGGGAACTCCATTATGCTGAGTGAAGATTTAAACTTGCCTGTTTGGAAAATTGGCTGTTATCTCTTTTTTTCCTGATTTCTCAGAAGGTCACATAAGAACTTAGTTTGGGTATGTTAACATAGAACTTTAGCACGGGTGGCTCTACTTTCATTTCTAGTCTGGTCTGTTAAGGCCTAGTGCAGAAGCTTAGTCCAAAATAATGGTCTCCTAAAATTTTTATTTTACAATTCCCTTCTTTCTGCCAGGTTCTCACCTAGGTGAGACATCACCATAGGACATCATTGCTACTCCTGGTTACCATAATTTTGTGTTTGTTGTCTTAGCATGTCATTTATGGGTTACAGTGTCCTCCTCATTATTATGCATTTCTTTGAGTTTTGTTGTTATAGCCAGAGAGAGAATATTTGATGTTTGACCGATGGCTATATAGAAACATTCAAAACTTTTTAGGTGGATACGGCACACCAGGAAGACTACTGTTATGACTACCAGGAAGATAATAACAAGAGTTTGGAGTATGCTTCTTAACCACCGTCCCCGTGAACCAAGCCAACTAAAATTAAATAACCAGACAAGGAGCTTACACATTTGAACCAAGTAGTCCACTCTATAATACCCACTGTATTTATCCATGTTGACAATAAAGGTCATCATCTGCATAGATTTCTCTCTATGAAAATAATAGGTAATCTAGCATCCCATGACTGGGTTAAATTAAAGCAGGAAGTACAAGTTACTTGCTAAATCTACTGAATGTGAAATTTTAACTACAGCATTTTCCTGCCAAGTGAAAGAGGCAGGCATAAGGAAATATTAAGAGGGGTAAGAGTCTCAACATGACAGAAAATCTTGTTCTGATGGTCTTGGAAATGCTGTCCACAGCATGAAGTCAGCAACTTCTTGTATTGGTTTGAAGTTTAAATGTCTCCAGTTGTGGCATAGGATATTCTGGTGAACTCTATGGAACCCACAGATCTGGCATGAGACTTGTTCCTTGTAATTTACATAAAATTTGTCCAATTTTGGCTTATAGGGCTTCAGTAACTGAGCAGTTTTCATTCTTCATTGGAAAGTTGTAGCCATATATTAGAGAAAAGTAGAAGAATTTAGAATTTAGAATCCAGTTACCTATAAGTAGACAGGAAAAACTAAAAAACAATGAACAGCACTGCAATCTAATAACAGGTGTACTGAGTTTTCTTTTGGAAAATAATTTTTATCTCTATAGTGACTCCCATTTCTACCAAAGATGATCATAGTAAGACGAAAGTGGTTGCAAAATAAATTTAGTGTCAAATTTAGCCTGATTATTTATGTATTTATGTGGCAAGAATAATTAAATACATCCCTTTAAAATTTGCCATGCTGGAAGTTTTGACAAGGAATTTCAGATTGAACTTTTAAAAATCTCTCAATGCTAATAAGCCAAACCAAGGCAGACATTCAATGTTTCATTCTGTATCTAATGTCTTGATGTTTCTGAGCCTTCCAGGAAGTGAAAACTTTTGCCCACTCACTCTAAGGCCAGAAATTTTTGAAGCCAGGCATTCTCAAATGGGAAATTTTCAAATATAACGTTCCAGTCAAAGCCTTGGCAATATAACAATGTTTTCAAGAGTATCTTGTTATAAAAAAACATATTTTGTATTGAACTTATACAAATAATCATATTGCCATAAAAATAAGAATACTCACAAATACTTTCTGAATTCTGAAGAGACCAAGGAGAGAGGAAAAGAAAATGTTTCAATTTTTGTTTAGAAAAGTATGTTTTTCCAAATTTTTGTAAGCTATAGAGAGATTAAAGGAAACAGCTTCTTAAATCTTGAAAAGAAAACACTAACAGAACCAGCAAGGTTTGAAATGAAGCCTTAAAAGCCCATTTTTTGGTCATCAGTTTATTGTCTCATGTAATTAATTCTAGCTCTGTTCTTGTTTAGCAGTTTAACAAACCCATCAGTTTCTTCATTAGAATTTTGAAAATTCAAGTAAACTTATTAGAAACTTGTACTTTTCAGAGGTTTTTTTATTCTTTCCATGAAGCTGCTTAAAGACAGAAAACTTCAGGATTATAATTGCTTGCAAGAAGCTTTCAGAAAAGCATAAGAATAAAGGAATTCACAGTAGACATCAAGAATTACAATGGACATGGCTAAAAACCTGATGAGAGTTCATTATAATAATAACACAATTGCCAAGACATTTTGTTATTTCTAAAGCAAAATTATGACTAATAGCATCTCTACCAAGTTATATTAGATTTCTAGGAACTTTATACAGTTTTAGAACACATATTAATAACATATTTATATTAATATAACTTGTAGAAGCTTAAACATCATTTTTTATTTTGTCAATGCTTCCCATGTAATTTAACGTATCACATTAAATCAACAGGTTTAATATCTCTCTTTTACAGATCCTTGGAGAAATTCCAGGTATCACTGGAATGTCCCAACTTTGCTTGGAGATTAAAATGATTTAACATTGATTTTTGAGAAGTTTGTCAAATATCAAAGATTTAAAACATTTGATCAAAATAGGATCATAGGTCACTAGGAAATCAAACCAAACTGCTAAAATATTTAAAGCCACAAAGCACAATAAATTATCTTAAAAAATAGAATCTCTGCCTCCTAGGCCAGTTATCTAAAAAGTAAAAATAGACCTCTCAAAATTTCCTCTTAAAGAGCGTTTCAATGCTCTGAAAAAATTCTGTTGTTCCAACACATGGGCTCAAACTTTATCCTTGCATTAGTGTATTTTGATATTAACATTCAATTTCTAGAAAGAAACATAAATAATTCCCTTCTCATTTTACCCATCTTGATCACACATAAAATTTCTTTCATGACATTTATCTTCCACAAATCTTCTACAACTTGCTTAAACGTTCGGTTTTGTCTTATACTTCTTTTATAAAAAACATCTTGGCATTCTACCTTATTGTTCCCAGACAGAATGGGGTCTGACTGCTTATTCTTGAAGTCCAATAACGAGATGCAGACAGACTGGGAAAGAAGGGAGTTCATTTCTGCAACCAGTTACAGGGAGAAGGTTGGAGTAACTCACCATACCAACTCAAAATTACAAGTTTTTCCTATGGTTTATATACATTCAGTGCACCTACAAGCTGAAAGCCAAAGTGTTTCACTCTGTGTAATCTTCATCTGGAGTCTGGGGTCTGTTTAGACAATTACTTCAGAGATTTGGAAAAATTACTTAAAGTGGGTCCTGGTACAAAGTGTGCAAGAATGCCTCCATTATTTTAATTAAACTCAAAGGTCTGAGAAAGCCCAGGTGGGGTCTTAACGGGCTTGTTTTTATATCCTAGCCTTTGTACTAATGCACCAGTTTCTCCATTTCTTTAATGTTTAACTTATACATTCATCAGAGTTACAGTAAGGTGTCAGTAAAGGCTGGCGGCTCTGGTTGCTGATGGAGACCCGGCCTGCCACAATCATCACTGTCAATTTGTGCATGATTTCCATCATGTTAGTTTCAAGCATTAATCTATTATGGGTTAGTACAGAGTATAAGCTATAATATAATAGCAGTAAGGGCAGGTGGATGACTTATTCTCTCTGGCTACTTCCTACTGAAGAGGGTCATCGTCAAGAGACATTGGAGTGTTAAATATCTACTTGCCATTGGTAGTGTTCTTGGTTTCGGGGACTCAAAGCCAGTGCCTGTTGAAACATGATTTTATGAGCTCAGGGAATGTTTTGGAACAGCGTACAACAACAATATAGTCCACAACATGGTGTTATGCCTATGCCTATGCCCAAGAGGGTGGCTAGGACAACCAGAATTTTCTGCCACCAAGAAGGTCCTTCACCCAACCAAGATGCTATTAATTTATTGAGAGACAGTGCAGAGCTATAGAGGGCTTCAATCTGTTGGTTCATATTCTTTAAAGCTAAATAAATGTTTTCTGAGTTATTGGGAATATACATACAACATTCAGTTTTACCTATAGCTCAAGAAGGAACCTGTGCCCTGGATTATTTAAAGTTTTATTTATAGGCCATTCAGAAATACTTTTTTTCTAGTTATCCCCCTCACCTGCGACCCTGCCCATTTTTTATGATTTTCTAGGAAGTAACCCAATTTTCCTTGTATGGGGGGAGACCCACCAAAGCAGTCCTGTGGTACTAGAGAGGGGTAATAGATCCAGCAAGAGTCTTGCTGTAGGCTATCTGCATATTCTTGTGCCCATTATAGGAAAAGGTTAGAGGTGTAAGCAGAAACAACAAGAGGAACAGTGAAGAAAAATATTATAAAAGAATAGCTTATCATCTTTTGAACAGAAACCTTAGGCCTTCCATGGGTTCCAACTCCCATTTGGGGGCCTTGGTGTCCTCTGTCATGGATGTTTCATCTAGTAGAAACTTCTTTACCCATATGTGGTGGCTTGATGCCCACCAGTTTCAGTGCCGAATTGGTGGTCAGCAACACGTTGTAGGGTCCTTCCCATTTCTCCTGTAGTTGTTGAGTTGGGCCCTCCATTCTTTAGCAGTACTTGATCACCAGACAATGCTCCAGATGGAAGCAAGCTTATGCAAAATGTTAAGAATTTGTCCCAAATGAGCAACATCCTGCTTAATAGTTGACTTTCTATTAAGGACCACCCTAGTAACCAGAGACAGATTAGCGGCAAAGGTTCTCGTAATATATAATTTCATAGGGACTTAACTTACTCCTACTTCTGAGGGTCACTTTTACCTGGAGCAGTGCAATGCCAACTACCTGAGCCTATCTTGGTTGAATTTCCTGGCGCAGTTTGGCAATAATTGTTTTTAGTGTTTGATTTATACTTTTAGTCTGTCCAGAAGATTGTGGTCTCCATGCTGACTGTAGTCTCCAATTTATTCCATGTGCCTTGTATACTTGGGACAACTGCAAGTCTCTCACAAGGATAATCAGTTCTGCCTTCTGTGCAGAGGTTCCCATTGGTACAATCTTTGCTTCTATTACCTCTGAAAAGGTTGCCATGGCATATGCAGCATTTCTTTTCCCATTGGCTACCAGGCTGTTCCCATCCACAAACAATATCCAGTCTGCATGCAGCAAGTCCGTATCCTTTAAATCAGGGCAGCTGGAAAACACTTGATAATGATTTCCAAACAATTACGCATGGGGTCCTCTGATTCCTTGGTAGGATGTAGTAATGTAGCTGGGTTTAGAGCTCTGGTGGTTTGTAATTTCATAGTGGGGTCATCTAAGAGTCTGCCCTGGTATTTGCCTAACCCATCAGCTGTCAGTCAATAGCCTCTCTTTTGCTAAAGTAGCACTAGTACCTGATGAGGCATGTAGATTGTAATAGGCTTTCTCAAGGTTAGCTTTTCAGCCTGCTTTAATAATAGGCAGTTGGTGGCAAGTGCTCTCAGACAGGGGGGCCAGCCTGTAGCCACTGTGTCCAGCTGTTTAGAAAAGTAGGCCACCAGCTGTCTTATTTCTCCTAACTTCTGCATAAGGACCCCGAGCACTAGACCCAGTCTCTCATGCATACACAGTTGAAATGGCTTATGAGGATTTGGGAGCCCCAGGGCTAGGGTGGGGGTTAACTTATGTTTCAGTTGTTTGAATGCATGCTGGTGTTTTGCTCCCAGTCAAAGATGTTATTGTTAGCTCCTTTAAACAGTTCAAACAGTGGCTTTACCAGTAGTCCATGGTTAGGAATCCATATCCAATAGACAAAACCCTGCCACATCTAGAAATCCTCTCAGCAACCTTCTGGTAGTGGGTGCTGCAATGGAAGTGATTGTATTTTACCTTTCCATTGTTAGAGCTCTGGTTCCCTTCTGTAAGAAAAAACTTAAGTATTGCACAGTTTGTTGGCATATTTGAGCCTTTTTACTTGAAACCTTATACCCACAGGTTGCTAGATGGTCCAAAGTTTTAATAGTATTATTGTGATATTCCCATTCACATGGGGTAGCTATTAGTAAATTATCCAAATATTGTAACAGTATTCCATTTCCCAATCTTAAACTCCTTAAATTTCAAACGAAGGCTTTTCCAAATGTAGTCGGAGAGTTTTTAAATCCTGGTGGGAGTACAGTCCAGCAATATTGAAACTGCATTGCGGCTTCAAGATCTGTCCATTCAAAGTTAAACAACAATTGACTTTCTGTGTCTATGAGAATGCAAAAGAAAGCATCTTTTAAATCCAATAGTATAAACCCTTTATGATCTCCAGGAAAATAAGGGAACTTAGTATACATGTTAGTTACACTGCGATGTACGTCCTCTACAATATCCCAATTTGGGTCCATGTGGTGAATCGCCCTGTCAGGATCTGGAGTGTCATTTGGATTTTCATTATGAAGATGTTGCGCCTCTTCCTTTGCTTTATTTAAAACCAGATACCTTAATGTTTAGGAGAGCCTGCACATCTTAGGTGGGACATTGTGTAGCAAATATAGTGGTATTATAGGCCCAATAACATCTGGCTGGAACTCCTTGCTGATTGACTCCTACTGGGTATTATCGTAGTGGGAATAGCCCTGCTTTGGACTCGGTGACTCCCCAGCCAAAATTAGTACCTTGGTTAGTCCGAGAAGAAGACAGTAGCTCTGCTACTTCCCTGTACTCTGGCAGTGACATTCCTTCTCTTTCCTGAGATGGGAGGGCAGCCACTATGGGGTTTAGAGTGTTCATTAACTGTTGGATTTCAGAGGTTTTTTCTCTCTCCCCTTGGGAGTCGGGACAGACTTTAGCAGTGTACTGCACCATTAGCTTATTTCCATTTTCTTTACCATCCTTATTAAGCAGTAACATAAATGCCTGGACATAATGTATTTTGCCTCATTTTCCTGACCTCTGGCAGAACAATTCTAATTGATAGAGGGTATGAAAATTTAGAGATCCAAAACTGGCCACCATTTCACAGACCCCAAAACATACATTGACCAAGCTCTGCTACAATAGATTATTTTTTTAGTCATGGGTGGATAACCAAAGTGCTTCCAATCTGACAAAATTCTCCCCAGAGGACTATTTGTAGGAATAGATGCAGTGTTGCCCATAGTGAGTACTCTAAACTTAACAAATATCAGACAAACAGAACAAATTTTCACAAACAAATGCAAATGAATCCTCAAACAAATGCAAAGCAGTTACACAAACAAGTCATATTGCTTTCTCAATGGTACCAAAACAAATGGCTACGTGAGCCCAAATAGAGGAAATAATAGTCTTCTGGCTTACAATCCACTTACAATCCAGTTTGAATGATCCTTCAAGCATGTTTGCTCCTAACCTCTGCCCTTACCCAGCAATAGAAGGATGGGCAGTCTTTGCATCAGGTAAGCTCAGGACAAACTGTACCTGGCAGGTGCTGGGAGTTTCCCAGTGACCATCTCGTTGCAAGAGGCTGGCCACTGAGGGCAGCTCCCTCCTGTCTGGCTTGCTAGATTTGTTCCTGGACAGAACAAGGTCCGGCTGCTTGCTCTCACGGTTCAATAACAAGATGCAGACAGACTGGGAAAGAAGGGAGTTCATTTCTGTAGCTGGTTACAGGGAGGAGGTTGGAGTAACCCACCAGACCAACTCAAAGTTACAAGTTTTTCCTAGTGCTTATATACATTCAGTGCACCTACAAGCCGAAAGCCAAAGTGTTTCACTCTATCTCATCTTTAACTAGGGTCCAGGGTCTGGACAATTACTTCAGAGACTTGGAAAAATTACTTAATCTAAAGTGGGTCCTGGTACATGGTGTGCAAGTATGTCTCCATTATTTTAATTAAATTCTAAGGTCTGAGAAAGCCCAGACAGTATCTTAATGGACTTGTTTTTACATTCTAGCCTCTGTACTAAGGCACCAGTTTCTCCAGTTCTTTAATGTTTAACTTATACATTCATCAGAGTGACACTAAGGTGCTGGTAAAGGCTGACGGCTCTGGTTGCTAATGGAGACCTGGCCTGGCATATTAGGACAAACACCTATTTTCCCTTCTTCCTCATCATTTTAACCATGCAAAGTTTTCTCTCATACAAAAGTAAATATTACTCTCACTTTTCATCCCTCTTTACCAATAATGCCTCCTCATACTTATAACTTCTTTTCACATCTCTCCTACTAACTAGTACCTTCCTGCCTTGTTTCTATTTCCTTCCCAATTCTGTATTTTGGAACAATCTGTAATAATCTCTGAATTAAAAAAATGCTCTTTCTAAACAAAAATATATCCTTCTATTTTTTACAATTTTTCTCAGCAAAAACACATCTTACTTTCCTTCTATACTTTGCATACAGAATTTTCCCCCTACTTCTAGTAGTTTTAATTACACATATAGTTAGAATTCTTAACTCTCAGTAACTTTAATTTTTTGTGACAACCTAGGAAATAAGCAATTTTGAACTCTATCAAACCAACATTTTTTAAATGCATATTTTACAATATTTAGAAACATGCACTTCCTCACAGAACAATTTTTAAAAAAATCTTTACTTATAGACTCAAATATTTAGCTGCTCTATACCATATAAAAACAAAATGCCAAAGTATATAAACTTTACACTTAGGCTTAATCAAAATGTTTTCGTATTTTAACTTTTTTAGAAAATGACCCAGACATTTAATGAGTACCTATTACTCAATTTCACTTTAACGTTTCATGGTACTGTGAAAGAAAAACAAATCTTGGGACCCAAAATTACTGAGCTAAAGGGAGAAGTCAAGCTGGGAACTGCTTAGGGCAAACCTGCCTTCCATTCTATTCAAAGTCATCCCTCTGCTCACTGAGATAAATGCGTACCTGTCTGCCTCCTTTGGAAAGACTAATTAGAACCTCAAAAGAATGCAACCCTTTTTCTCTTATCTACCTGTGATCTGGAAGCACCCTCCCCACTTCAAGTTGTCCCGCCTTTGCCTTTGCTTCCAGTTGTTCCACCTTTCCAGACTGAACCAATGTTCCTCTTACATATATTGATGTCTCATGTCTCCCTAAATGTATAAAACCAAGCTGTGCCCCTACGACCTTGGGCGCATGCTGTCAGGACCTCCTGAGATTGCATCCTTAACCTTGGCAAAATAAACTTTCTAAATTGACTGGGACCTGTCTCAGATATTTGGAGTTTACATTATCAAAAAAAAATTGCTTTTAAATTATGAAGAATTTATGAATGTTTATGCCATTGATACTTACCTAATATACTGATTTTTAACAATTATGTTAGAACTCTTTTGGCAAATTTTATGAGACGTGAAACAAAACTAGCCATTATTGTTGATTAAAAAAGACTCAAACTCTGTAAAATATTTGAAGAGATTTATCCTGAGCCAAATATGAGTGAGAAATGGCCCAAAACACAGCCCCAGGAGATTCTGAGAACACGTGCCCAAGGTGATTAGGCTACAGATTGGTTTTATACATTTTAGGGAGACATAAGACATCATTCAATACATGTAAGATGTACATTGGTTCACCCAGAATTCTGGAAAGGCAGAACAACTAGAAACAGGGAGTTGGGGGCTTCCAGGTCATAGGAAGATTCAAAGATTTTCTGATTGGCAATTAGTTGAAAGAGATATTATCTAAAGAGCTGGAATCAGTAGAAAGGGTTAAGATAAGGGTTTCTGGAGACCAAGGTTTTATCATGCAAATGAAACCTCCAGGTAGCAGTCTTCAGAGCTGTAATTAGACCTAAAAAGTTGCCTGAGTCTTAATTAATTCTCTCCTGGATCAGAGGAAAGACCTGGAAAGGAAAGGGGATTCTGTACAGAATGTAGGTTTTCTTCACAAGAAACAGCTTTGCAGGGCCATTTCAAAATATGTCAAATAAATATATTTAGGGGTAAAATACTTCTTTCAGGGCTTGCTTTCTGTTATGTGATGCTATACTAGATTCAGGCTTGAATTGGGTGTCTTATTGCTATAAAAAGTCTGTTTTGTCAGTCTTAAGATCTCAGTTTTAATGTTAATGCTGGTCAGTTGTTCCTGAATTCCAAAGAGAAGAGGGTATAATGAGGCATGTCAGATCCTGAACTAGATTTTCAATTTTACTTTCAAATGCCCTTGGACTAAAGGGGGTATCTATCTGTAGGTTGGGGGGAATCTTAGAATTTTATTTTTGGTTTACATCATCTTAACCTATTTCCCTCTTAGCCATTTTCTACAGCATGTAAAAGTTAGGCAGTCACCACCTCCTAAAGTCAAATATATGTTGTTTTCTGATCAGAAGACACAGCTCTTTTCCAGTCTTATTTACCAAAATTTTACCCAAGTCACACGAACCAAAGCATTTGAGTTAGGTTCTTTTTTTATGGTAAAACATGTTATTTAAGCACTTACTTTTTTCTTTAAGTAAATTAATTAGAGCTCTCTCACACATTTTGGCAGAAAAGTATCACATATACATAACACATGTAGACATACAGACACTCAGGCAGAAGTGTAACCGCCCAACACAATCACCTTGCCCGCTGCAGAGACAGAGCTGATTTATTAAAACAGGGGAATTGCAAGGGAGAAAGAGTAATTCACACAGAGCCAGCTGTGTAGGAGACAGGAATTTTATTATTCCTCATATCAGTCTCCTTGAACATTTAGGTAACAGAGTTTTTAAAGATAATTTGGCAGGTAGGGGCTTGGGAAGTGGGGAGTGCTGATTGGTCAGGTTGGAGATGGAATCATAGGGGGTTGAAGTGAGTTTTTCTTGCCGTCCTCTGTTCTTGGGTAGGATGGCAGAACTGGTTGAGCCAGATTACTGACCTGGGTGGTGTCAGATAATCCATCCAGTGCAGGGTCTGCAAAATAGCTCAAGCACTGTTCTTAGGTTTTACAAGACTCTTGGAGCCAGAGGCTGCATTACCCCTAAACTGTAATTTCTAATCTCGTAGCCAATTTGTTAGTCCTGAGAAGGCAGACTAGTCCCCAAGACAAAAGGAGCTCTTTTCAGGAAAGGGCTATCATCAATTTTGTTTCAAACTATGAACTGAATTCCTTTCCAAAGTTAGTTCTGCCTACACCCAGGAATGAACAAGGAAAGCTTAAAGGTTAGAAGCAAGATATAGTTGGTTAGGTCTGATCTCTTTCACTGTCATAATTTCCTCAGTTATAATTTTTTCAAAGGCAGTTTCAGATGCACATCTTATAGCTCCAATAAGATTCTTTGTCATTTTTCAAACAGTTTCCCTCCTTTAGACAAACATCCCGGATGAAACCATGTAGTCAAATTTACAGAACATAGATCTAAACACTATTAGTTGCAGAAAAAAGAAAGGTGTAGATAAAGGCCCAATTAAGACAAGCCGACTAGGAAATGTACCTTAAAGAAAGGTAAGGTTTGTTGTATAAATTTTAAACCAATGTATTTTCCATTGTAAAAGTTTCTAGTGTTTTAGGTGCAGAGAGTGAAATGCCCTTATAAATGGAGATTGCCTTTATAGGTGTAAATATCTTCTACAAAGAGTTTCAAAATAGCTAGATAAATGTCAGAAAGTTGTATTTTGGAGACCATTCAGTTTAATAGTGGTCACTTTAATGTTGCTTATTTTTACATTAAATTACCAACTTCAAGGCTGAGCCCTTTAACAAGCAGGGCAAAGCATAACCAATAGAAACTTGCAGGAGCTTCCCTTGGAGGCCACTCAGTCCTGGTGTTTATCACGGAGATTATCAGAGGGTAGTAGCCTGTTTTCAGGGGCTTTCTTTGAAAACTTTGGGGTAGTCCCTTTTCCAATTTACTGGTTGTTTGCACAAATGGCAAAAATTCTTTAGAAACTGTTGTTTTATGGGTTGCTTATTGGACAAGCGGCCTAGGGCAGGCCTAAAAGTCATTCTCAGTTGTTAATTGCCATGGAGCTGAAACACTTTGGGAATGGCTTTCTTTTTTTTTTTTTTTTTTTTTTTGAGATGGAGTCTTGCTCTTATTGCACAGGTTGGAGTACAATGGCACGATCTTGGCTCACTGCAACTTCTGCTTCCTGGGTTCAAGCAATTCTCCTGCCTCAGCCTCCTGAGTAGCTGGAATTACAGGCGCCCACCACCACGCCTGGCTAATTTTTTTTTTTTGTATTTTCAGTAGAGACGGGGTTTCGCCATGTTGGTCAGGCTGGTCTCGAACTCCCGACCTTGTGATCCGCCCGCCTCGGCCTCACAAAGTGCTGGGATTACAGGTATGAGCCACCGTGCCCGGCCGGGAATGGCTTTCAAAAAATCATTTGCAATTGGGTCCTTAATACTATTCTCAGGAGAACACTATTCTGCCTTTTTTATCCTTTTTGGAACTCCCCAGTTCTCACCAACATGTTGTATGGTTAGCAGAGGTCAGGTATTTCAGGTTGAAAAGTTACAATTAAGGCCCTCAATTCTTTAGAAAACTTTTGAAGGTTTTCTGTAAGTTTAAGAAAATTTTTAACTATGGCTTTGAACTCAGTTTTTTTCTAGGGAGGGTAAGTCACTTGGGGATTACCTCCTGAATTTTTGTGTGGTTCTATCATAAGGAGAGTGTTTAACATTTCTTTTCAGGGGAAAAAATGTAATTCAGACAGAGAGTGAATAGACTGTTGTATTAGTTCATTCTCACACTGCCATAAAATTACTGAGACTGGGTAATTTATAAAGAAAGGGGTTTTAATTGACTCACAGTTCCACATGCCTGGGGACACCTCAGGAAACTTAAAATCATGGCATAAGGTGAAGGGGAAGCAAGGTGCATCTTACTTGGTGGAAGAAGAGAGAGAGAGTGTGCAGGGAAAACTGCCACTTTTAAACCATCAGATCTCATGAGAACTCCCTCACTATTGCATAGATAACATCACTATTTTAGAACCTAAGATTGATCTTTTGGAGATGTTTTTAAGACTTTTGAATTCTGGCAACAGACTGACCCCAACTAGACTTGTGATTCATGACTCAACTGGTCCTGTGCACCCCGACCCCGACCCCCGCCCCAACTCAGAGGCAGACTTAGCGCATGAAGACTGTTTCCCACACCCCTATGATTCCATCTCCAACCAATCAGCAGCACCCATTTCCTAGCCCCCTGCTCACCAAATTATTCATCAAAAACCCTAACTTCTGAGCCTTCGGGGAGACTGATTTAAGTAATAACTTCATCTGCCATGTGGCTGGCATAATGTTAATTAAATTCTTTTCTTACTGCAATAGCATTGTCTCAGTGAATTGGTTTTGTCTGTTCAGTGGGCAGGAAGAACCTGTTAGATGATTACAAAAAGATCAGAGGGTTCAAACGCAAAAAACAGCAGAGCTCACACCTGAGAGGCATTTGGGGCTCTCTGGGCCCCATGAGGAAGAAAAAATACCATCACCCACAACAAAGGGGATTAGTGGTGCCTTTATGTGTGTTCCTCAAGGGGTCTCAGGGCTATCAGAAGTCTTTATCAAGTCCCTTGATTGGTCATCAATTCTGTCACAAGACAAAATTACAACAAATTTAGTTTAAAAATCTTAATTGGCTTTTTTAGCAATTCTAGAATCAGGCAACACTTCATTCCATACATTTCAGAATAAGTGTTCTGATGAGTTGAGCACAAGAAGTGACTTTATAGACAGAGAAGGGTTGAAGAAAGCAGAAACAAGTAACACATAGTGTTATTAGTCCTACTAAAGCTACTTTTCTTGTAAGGCAGGGAAGGGGAGACATAACAACGCAAAAAATTAGGTAACATCAGGTTACACTAGGCTACCTTTTTTGTGTAAGGATTAAAGTAGAGGAAATTTTATTATCATGACAATTGAAGATTTAAACTGCCCTGTTTGGGAAATTGGCTATTATCTCATTCTGACTGGTATGAGATGATACCTCATTGTGGTTTTGATTTGCATCTCTCTAATGATCACTGATGTTAAGCTTTCTTCACACGCTTGTTGGCCACACGTATGCCTTCTTCTGAAAAGTGTCTGTTCATGTTCTTTACCCACTTTTTTAATGGGAGTGTTTGGTTTTTTTCTTGTATATTTGTTTAAATTGTATATAGATGCTGGACATTAAACCTTTGTCAGATGCATACTTTGCACAATTTTTTTCCCATTCTGTGTGTTGCTTGTTTACAATGTTGATAGGTTCCCTTGCTGTTCAGAAGCTCTTTAGTTTAATTAGATCCCATTTGTCAGTTGTTGCTTTTGTTGCAATTGCTTTTGGCATCTTCATCATGATATCTTTGCCCGTGCCTATGTCCTGAATGATATTGCCTAGGTTTTCTTCGAGAGTTTTTATAGTTTTGGGTTTTATATTTTAGTCTTTAATCCATCTTGAGTTGATTTTTCGTATACAGTGTAAGGTAGGGGTCTAGTTCCAATTTTCTACATATGGCTAACCAGTTGTCCCAGCACCATTTATTGAATAGGGAATTCTTTCCCCATTGCTTGTTTTTGTCAGGTTTGTCAACAATCAAATAGTTGTAGTTGTGTGGTCTTATTTCTGGGTTCTCTGTTCTGTTCCACTGATCTATGTGTTCTTGTACCACTATCATGCTGTTTTGTTTACTATAGCCCTGCTGTATAGTTTGAAGTCAGTTTGGATGATGCTTGCAGCTTTGTTCTTTTTGCTTAGGATTGCCTTGGCTATTTTGGCTCTTTTTTGGTTCCATATGAATCTTAAAATAGTTTTTTCTAGTTCTCTGAAGAATGTCAAAGGTAGTTTAGTGGGAATAGCATTGAATCTATAAATTGCTTTGGGCAGTATGGCCATTTTAATGATATTGATTCTTCCTATCCATGAGCATGGAATGTTTTTACATTTGTTTTTGTCACCTCGGATTTATTTGAGCAGTGTTTTGTAGTTCTCCTTGTAAAGATCTTTCACTTCCCTTGTTAGTTGTATTCCCAGGTATTTTATTCTTTTTGTGGCAATTGTAAATGGGAGTTTGTTCATGATTGGGCTCTCAGCTTGCCTGTTGTTGGTGTATAGGAATGCTAGCGATTTTTTCACATTGATTTTGTATCCTGAGACTTTGCTGAAGTTGTTTATCAGCTTAAGAAGCTTTTGGGCTGAGACAGTGGGATTTTCTCTATATAGGATGTCATCTGCAAACATCTGATTTCTTGAAAGGTCAGATAACAACTTACTTTGGGATTGGGGATATGGAACTTAAGCATGGGTGACCCCATTTTGATTTTTAGTCTAGTCTGTAGGTGCCTAATGTGGGAGTTTAGTCCAAAACCATGGCCTCCTATAATTTGTATTCAATGCTTGCCAGTTGAAATTTAGATTTTCTGTAATCTTTTAAAATCTGTAAGAGTGTATATTTTTTGAATTTTCTATGTACTGGCTTTAAACACAGGATTGCCATGTTCTAAAGCCACACATCTACATGCCTCTCTCTCAAGACTTAATTATACATACCTTGGACCCATAAAGTTTTATTTTGTTCGCTATGTCTTATGGGCATTAGTCTAAATTTGTTTGATTTTTAACCTGAAGCTGTGTCATAACATCATTTTTTGTTTGTATATCACCCAGTTTTCCACTTTCTCATCTTTCTCTTTTAGTGCCTTATTATACGTAACTGGCAGCAATCAGTTTATGCTTTTAGCCATCTGCCTAGAAAATTCCCTCACCCAGTGTAAATGGTCATTCTGTTCATTTCATATCTTACACATTATGTCAAGCAACTCTTTTACCAAAACGCATTGCCTCTAAATAATACAAATTGCCTTTATCCCAGTCTTCTAAGTGAGCTTCCTTATTGCCTGCTACCTGGTTCCAAAACAAACAAACAAACAAACAAACAAACACAATAATTAAGTTTCTGTGATGGCACTCTCCTGCCTCTAGTATGCATTTCTGTATGAGTAATATATACTCACCATAATTTTGCCTAACAAGTCATTCCACTCTGTGGCTTATAGTAAGAAACATTAATTTTACATTCTCACATCTGTGAATTGTTTGGCATTCAGATGATTTAGGCTGGTTTAATCTGGGCTTTATCTCCAGGGCTCAGATTGGTTGAGGTCTGCTTCACATGCCCCTAATTCTTCTGAGACCCGCAGGCTATCTGGGCTAGCTGGACCAGCTTTTATCATGGTGATGGCAGAACATCAAGAGGGCAAGACTAATGCAAAAGAACATTTCAATCCTCTGCTTTCGTCATGCCTACTCATATCAGATATGCCAAAGCAAGTCACATATCCAAGCCCAGAAGGGGTTTGAGAGAAGCTAATCAAAAGGTAGGGATCATGATAGAAGCATTTAGCAAAAAGTAATAATGCCTCGAGTATATTTAATCGATACCTAATTATTTGACTTAACAAGTTGAAAATTACTAAGATTCAATATTGGGAAAAGCTTCGTGCAGAATAATAATTCCTCATATTTTTATAGCAATTTATAATGTTCAAGGAATTTGCATAAAGTACATGTCATTTGATCCTTATAACAATTTATTAAGGTAGATGGGACAGGTATAATTTTACAAATAGGTAACAGGCATGACATGACCTAAATGTGGCAAAGCCAAGACTCAAGTATTCTGAGACCCTGCATGTCTACCATAGCATGTCGCTTTTTCCATAGCCACTTCCAGAAGAGAAATGTCCTAAGAAAACAAAAATAATGAGAACATATGGGAAAGTTGCCATGGAAAAGCAGGCATGCTTCTTCTTTAGTCTGTATCATCATGGACAGTTGAACTTGAAGCTGCCTTTTCTTGGTAGGTTTATTCATAATGATTGGTAGAGTCCTAGAATTTCTGTTCTATTTCTTGAAGTTATCATAATTTTTTGATTCCTGTCTACCAATTTGTGCAATTAAATAGCTTTCCATTTTGGCTGCAAATCACCTTTTTAAAATTGTTTCAATAGAAAGATTTCAATATATATTGAAAACATTCTTCTAATTGTTAATTAGAAGAACAATTATTCTAATAATTGTTAATAACAAGGATATACAGGTGAACATATTCAAATTTCTAGCTAATAAATCTGAATAAATGTAGGACAGGAGAACATTGTAATACAGTGTTGACAAAGGCAGAACACCACATTTCAAATGCTTCCTCTCAAAAGTTTTTTTTAAATAGGAGAGATGACAAAAACAGCTCAAAAATCTATATTTTCATTATGGACCAAGCTTACATCCTATCTGTACTAATATAATTTATTTCACAAAGACATACTTTGTTTGTACATAGTGTTTGGGAGGGCAAATGTTAGTTTCCTTGTGTTGGAGAATTTACAGTTAGATTAGGAAACTCTGAGTCACATTGACCATTTTTGGCACTTGAATAGCTAGTATTTTTTTCTATTAAACACAAAGAAAAACAGAAGTCCATATTTTACTGTAAAGAAGGAAATTTTTACTCTATGTGTTGCAGTGCTTTATACTGAGCAAACATTTTTCATAAAAATAAGCATTCAATAATAAAATTATCAAAAGCAATTTCTTCAACTCACTTATTAATCAGATAAATTCTGATTGAGAGATATCTAAGAAACAGGAAGATCAGAACTGATGTGCAAGTTAGTTGATAAGAATTCATGAGAGTTATGTATAGGCACATTTAAAAGAGAAAATATAAGCTAAATAAGAATGAGCACTACATTTCAAGGCAGGAGCAATTTTTAAAAAAATAGTATGTCATGAACACTTTAGCAAGGTGGGTAAGCCCTAGGATAGCAACACATGAATGCTGAGGAAATGTGTCCTATTTGCTTGCCACTCTTACTTGTAATGGGGTTTTCTAAGTGCATCCTAAAGGCTTCCACTAAAGAACAAACTCAAAGAAACTTAAAATTTGTGATTGCTTGAGCAGAATAAAAAAAATCACATTGTAACTTCTGAAATGGAAGGTTAAATAAATTTAAAGTGAGATCTCTGCTTTATGGCATCAGTCTGAACATGATTTTGGGGGGATTAGAGATAAGTGAAGCCTAAGGCTGATTTAGATGAATGAATCTTTGGAAGCTGAGCCTGAAGAAGTCGAATGAAATACCTAAGCAATAAAACTATAAAATGGCACTTGAAGTTATTTTCTTTTCCCTCCTAACTATCAAAAGACTAAGAGGAAGAAAATCTACTCAAGGTGCAAGAGATATCAGTATGCTTACATTGGAAGTACATATAAATATACTGTTTAAGCTTGCTGATCAGCTTAGTTCCAAATGTATAGGGCAATAAATTTTCTGAACACTTTGAAGGTGCTCCATGTTTTTTAGCTACAAATCTCATCATTTTCCATCAAATATACAATCTTCTTTCGTACTGTCTCAAATATTTCTGGAAACATTTTGCTGCTTAGAATAAAAACAGTTTGGGTTTAAAAAGATTGTCTTTCTAAAATACACCCTTTTCCTCAATCCAGTCAGTCAAACATACATCTCTTTCAGGTTGATGTCATCAGAATACAGTTCTTATCAAAAAGAAATACTTATTAAATAGCTATCATATACAAAACATTGTACTGTCGATTTCAGGCAATATAAAATACAATCAATGATTACTAATAACTGATCATTTACTATATATCAGGAGAAATACCAAATGCATTATCTATAATATTTCAATTAATGTAAGAAGAGAACTATTTGTCAGGTATATTATGCTTCTTATTTCATACTCAGGTTAAGAAATCTAAAATCACACCTTTGTGAAAAGACTGAGCCAAGATTAGAATCTAAGCTTTCAAGGTCACAGTCAGCCCTCTTAAATTCTCTTAAATTTTGGTTGATATTAATAACTAGTGAGGCCGGTAGAGGAATAAGACAAAGCCCCAAAGCACAGATGCCAAGTACAAAATACAGGTAGATTTCTCAACAAATCCGACTTCCAAATAAGGTCACATCATCAAATATCCAAAATACATTGGACAAGTGCTGACAGGCCTGTTTAGCAGCAAATCTAGCCTGTAGTAAGGGTCAGAGTCAAAATAAAAATGAAGAGACTAATCTCTAAACTTAATGTTTTACTTGGGAAGAAAGAATTGCATGGTAGGGCATACATGCAGACCAGGTGGTCTTTGGTATGTCTCAATAACAAAGAGAAGGTTAAAGGTTTTATTAAAAGGAGAAATGTTACGTATTGCTCTTTGAGAAAGTTCTTTGACACTAGTAAGGGTTTGGGGAGTTGGTAAGCTCCAATTGGTGAGTTACAGTGGTAGGCGAAATTAGTCCCAGAGTTTCAGCAAGTTATCTCAGAAGCTATAGAAAAAAACTGGTTTTAGCTCACAACAAGCAGTTTTACCAGTTAGGCTTGCAAAGAGTTACTTGGAGCAATGTTTTGTACCCTGAATGCCTTTTCGCTTCAACTCTGTTTTAGTTGGTTGTGACAAGAATGACCCAATTCTTATGATCAACTTTCACATGTGGTGCCTCTTTTCACATATTTCAAAGAGTCCCCAAGTTTGAGTACCAGTACCCAGTGGGCAATCACCCACAGCTTTCAGGCACCTTTTTTGACTTGCCTAAAGCATACTTGTGTATGAGGCTAGACTGTGCATCAACTGACTCCTTGAGGATTCCAACTCGTAGGTTCCACCTGTCCATGCAGCTGCATGGATGCCTGTCTTGGCAATTATAGTTTCTGATCATACCATTGAAATCCTGGCCACAACAGAAAGATGAGGTCCTGAACAAGCCACCCACACCACACATACCCCTATTCCACTCATGTGCACTATTTGTTACTAGAGGATATCTTTGCTAGTTTTCTATAACTTAAGTGATTTGACAAGTTACAATAGAACATTCTTAGTTATGCACAATCAGTAGGGCCCAACAGCAAAACTCACCCAGCCCCAATTGATACAGTTCTTTAGTCTTAAAAATTATTTTGAATTACACAGCTTCAGGCCTTTTTTCTGGAGTTGACATGAGGCAAAATGGTATCTGGTCAGGAAAGGCATTCAGCAAGATTTTCCCAGTTGGCCTTCACACCAAAAATAGCTCAGATACTCAGCCCCAAATCTTGGAGTACATTTTTCTTAAGAATGACGGCTATTCCTTTCTACAATCGGAGTTTAAAGGGTATTACCCTAACTTATAAGACAAATTTAAATATCTTTACCTCTCATTTGTGGAAGAAGAGCTACGACCCTAATTTAGTGGTTTTAGTTGAGTGTGCCCAGCTCACACCTCAGATAGAGTAAATCAGAATTTTTGAAGTAGGAGCCAGGCATCAAGATTTTTAAAGAAATCCAGATGATATAATTCTATAGAAAAATTTGGGAACCATTCTCTTTGTCCTTACCTTAAAAAAAAAAAATTTCTCCTTCTGTCACCTAGGCTGGAGTGCAGTGGTGTGATTATAACTCACTGCTACCTGGAACTCCTGGGCTCAAGTGGTTCTCCCACCTCAGCCTTCTGAGTAACTAGGACTACAGGCATGCAGTACCATGCCTGGCTAATTCTTTAAAACTCTTTTTTGTAGAGATTACATCTTGCTATTTTGTCCAGGCTGGTCTGGAACTCCTGGGCTCAAGTGATCCTCCTGCCTCAGCCTCCCAAATTGCTGGGATTACAGGCAAGAACCACTGCACAATCTATGCCTATGTAAATGTGTGGGTGCAATATTGATCATCTTTACTTATATCATTTAGGCTAAAATGTCTGTCTTTATCAATCTATATGTCATGTGAAGGATGGCACTTAATTTCAACTATCAACAACATGAAAGTTTCAAGTTTTATGAGAATATCTTATTAAAATCTTAAAGAACTATAAACATTCCAAGAAGAAAGACATTCTAACCTATTTATGGATCACAAAACATTTCATGAAGAAGGTAACAATTGAGTAGATATTTGAACATGGCTAGAATGTCCATTTTGATTCACCCAGGTGTTATGTATAAAGTTTTATTTGTCTTTTAATTATATCCTAGTATTTATGCTTATACTTTATTTCTAATTCTGTATCCCGAGAAATAGAGGAGGAGACTCTAACAGAAACGCAGTAGTATCTCATTTTCAGAAAGCTAAAAGCTCATTAGAAGAAAAATGGAATTACACACACACACACTCACACACTTCTCAGCAAGCAAGCATAAAGGAATGTCTGTTTTGGGTGATCCTCTGGGAGCAGGTAGCCTCAACAAACAAGGGACAGAAGAATTTTCTCCCAGAGAAGCAGCTGTAGCAAGAGCTAAATCAACACAGCTGAGCTTTTACTTAAAACAGAAAAGAGAAAATTCACTAGACCTATGGAAAGATTCTACTGGTTAGATAGGGGAAACCTTATGAAATTTTTAGAGTAAATATCTCTGTCTAAAGGCACAAGACCAGTGTTGTATTCACAATATACGGGTCATTGCCTCCTAGTACTTAAGAAGCAGTCAATAAATATTTGTCAAATTGAATGGGATTATTGATACAGATTTGTAGCAAGAGATAAAGAGAGGGAGGGAGGGAGGGAGGTGAGAACATAGAAAAATTCTAGATAAGAATGTGTTTTTTGAAATTTCATTTACTTCCCCTAGACAGTCAGTGCAAGGCTGTTATTTTTATCACTCAATCCGCAGTCCCTAGGATATTGTCTAAAACATGAAAAGGTACAACCTAACTCTTCTTGAATAAATGTGGTCTTAGTCTGTTTTCTGCTACTATAACAGAATAACTACAACAGACTGTGCAGTTTATGAAGAAAAGAGGTTTATTTGGCTTATGGTTCTGAAGCCTGGGAAGTTTCAAGACTGAGGGGTTGCATCTGGTATGGATCTTCTTGCCACATTATCCCTCAGTGGATGGTGGAAGACGGAAGGGCAAGTAAGAACACAAGACACAGAGCCTGGATTCCTGCAAGAACTAACCCACTTCTGTTATAATGGCATTAATCCATCCATCATGAGCTAATCACCTCTTAAAGGCTCCACCTCTCAATATTATCACAATGGCAATTAAATTTCAACATGAGTTTTAGAGGGGACATTCAAACCATAGCAAATACCTAAATAAGAATCAAGAAATTCCATGAAATGAGCATTCATTAATCCCAAGAAAAGAACATTTGTAGGTCAAGAATAATTTTATGAATGTGAAACATTATAAAAATTTTTAAATATGGTAGAGGCAGTGAAGATAATTGAACACCATGAGGTCCTCAGTTGTATTCTACTGGCAGTTCACGATACACTCAGGCACCCATAGATCATATAATTAAATCAAGAGCATGTGACCTGTGTGATATCTAATTTTTGGAACTTATTAAGGTACATTTTTATGGCCATGTATATGCTCAATATTGGTAAGTATTTCGTGGACATGTGAAAAGTATGCTGAAAATTTTTCTTTTAATTCCACTGCAGTTTGAAAAAACTCTAAGTTGCTACCATAGCTTAATGAGGCCTATATACATATATTATCTCCTGTGTATTTTACAGGTTGGGTGCTGAGGCAAAGTGTAGTCTGCAGTATGTTTATTAAGGAATGCCCTTGTTATTATTACCTGTAGAAAGGAGCAGAAAAACTCAGAATTGAGCAGAAGGAGAAATGCAAGTCTTATCCAGGCCTGACAGCTCAGCTAATCTTATGGGGTGCTCTGGAAAGTACATCACCTATCAGAGTTGTCTAGCACCTAGCCAAAATGTCTGGGCCTTCATAACCCTACCTTGATCTGTCATAGGAAGTGGGCTACCTTGAGAAGGGTGTGCATTGGGGGAAAACAGCTCTGCAGCTCAAGGAGACCCCTGAAGGTGCTGAGAACTAAAGGGGCTGAGAACTAAAGGTGATCTTCACCCTGACTCCTTGCTTTCTCCACACACCGTGCATTCCATTCTAATTTGTACCTAAGGGGCCTTGTTACTCTATTTATCACCTTTAACAGGTGATACAATTTTATCACCTGTTTATTTGTAGGTCTTACTAAAAACTTTAAATTTTTGAAAATATTTTAAAATTTATTTTCTGTTTCTTCAACTTGAATGTAAGCTTACAAGGTCATGGAACTTGTCAGTTAACTGAATTATTCCCTTGCCTCAGAGTATATACTATATACTATTATATATAATACCATTAGTGTAAATATACTGTTCTTTATTTGTATTGAAATAATAAATCTTCAGCTGACTTGCTTATTGCATTCCTATCTTTTATATCTTTGCTTACATTTTGTACACTTGACAGATCAAATTTTAAAAGGAGTATAATGAAGGTTACAACCATTACAGAGACTTTAACTTTTTATTTCTCGGAGAATTCTTTCTTGTGTTTTTCACAATTATGTCTTTTGTCGCATAAAATTTTATGACTGCTATGTATAATTTGCACAGCATCTTTTTTTATGATACCAAAATACTGTTTTTGTCACATTTGATGCATGTGGCCTTCAATGGCATTATTTCTGATATTGAAATTCCTAATTCTTTGTTTTTTGATACACAGTGATGGTTTTCTTTCTGAATCATAACATGTCTGAGAATTTCTCTTTTTTGTTCCCAGGACAATGTAAATAATTATAAAATTTTATTTACTCTCAAATCAGTATATATCTTTATTATTATCATGTATGTGTTAGTGTATATCTATTGAATACTTCAGGGATTAAAATAATAGAAAGGCCTCTGAACTTGCAAGTAACCTACTTGTTATCTGAAAGCTTATAAGGTTTTCTCTCCAATAAGGACCTATGGAATACTTTCAACTGGAAAGCTTAATATTTTTTCAGTTCAGAGACCTTTCTATTATTTGAATCCTAACTATTTTAAAAAGAGTCTTGAATCGTCAACGTAACCCCTCTCCCACCACTTGGTAGACACAGCATGGTATGGAGAGCATTTTTGTGTACTGGGAGAGAGAGAGTACAGCAATTTTGAGACATTTAACTCAGTGATGTCCTGTTATAGCAGAAAGGAAAATGAGACCAAACTCAGCAGATGCCTGCCAATGGAGGGAGCATTTAAACCACCTCTAGCCTTAGGGGAATTACTGATCTCAAAAAGTTTCCACAAACTTTACCACCGTGGGCTAAACTGCTCTGTGGCTCTAAATAAATGTGAAAAGCAGCCTAGGCCACCAGGACTGCTACTTTTAGGAAAGTTTTAGTGCTGATCTGGGCCCAGAATAGACTAGGGGGGTCATGTGACCCACTGGGACAACAGACGACAGCTTTGGCAGCTAAGGCAGTGCTGGCATCACCCCTCCCATAACCCCAGGATGAACAGCTCATGGCTCCAAAAAAGATCCCTTCCTTCTGCTTGAGGAGAGAAGAGGAATGAATAAACAGGACTTTCTCTTGCACCTTGGATACGAGCTCAGCTGCAGTAAGATAGAGTAGTGGTTGGAAGCATAAGGCCTTCTTTCTAGGCCGCAGCTCCTGGATGACATTTCTAGACATGCTTCAGGCCAGAAAGGAGCCTGCTGCCTGGGAAAGAATGACCTAGTCCTGGTAGGATTCATTACCTGCTAACTGAAGAGTCTGAGTGCCTTGAATAACCAGCAGTGATACCCGGGAACTACGTTGAGGGCCTTGGGTGATAATTTGAGATCTGCTGGCTTCAGGAGAGACTCGACACATTCTCAACTGTGGTGGCTATGAAGTCAGACTCTCTGCTTGAGAAGAGTAGAGGGAAAAGTAAAGGGCACTTGGTCTTGGACTTGATCTGTGACCAGATCAGCCACAGGGAGCTAGAGCACCACGTGGGCTCTTGGGGTCACCAGTTCCAGAACTTGGCTCTTGGACAGCATTTCTGGACTTGCCCTGAGCCAGAGGGGAGCACACTGCCTTGAAGGCTGAGTCTCTGGTCAGGATGCATTCATGACAAACTGACATAAGAGACCTTGGGTCTTCAGGAAACAGCAGTAGTCTGGCAGAATTCCTCATAGGCTTGTGGTGGCAGTGGCCACAAGGTGAGGCTCCTCTGCCTTTGAAAAGGGGATGGAAGGGTGGAAACGACTCCATTTTGTGGTCTCAGTGTCAGCTTAGCTGCAGTATAATAGAATACCAGGTACATTTCTAAGGTTATTTACTCTAGTCCCTGTCTCCCAGAGAGCACCTCTTGAACTCCCTGGAAACTGGGAGAACTTGCTGCCCTGGAAGAAAAGACAGAGGCCTGGCTGACTTTGCCACACACTGATTGTACAGCTCCAAGGACTTGAGCAAACATAGGCAGTAGCCAGAGAGTGGTCAACAGCAGGCCTTGGGTGAGACACAGTGCTGTGCTGGCTTTGGGTCTGACCCAGCACAGTCATAGTCGTGGTGGCCACAGAGGTGCTTGTGTTACTCCATTCCCAGCTTTAGGTGGCTCAGAACAGAGAGAGAAAGACTCTATTTGTTTGGGAGAAAGTAAGGGAAGAGAACACGAGTCTCTGCCTGGTAATGGAGAAAAATCGCCTGGATCTTGTCAAAGACCAACAAGGTGGTACACCTCTACAAATCTCCAAGAACCATCTGCAAGAAACATTACTGTGAGAAAAATAATAGCATACAGATATATTTTTTCTCACAGGTTTCAGAAAAGGTTTTGTTTCCATAGGATGTTTGTTGTTTCATTTCTTCTTCTTATTTTTTTTTTACTTTTATTGTCATTTAAGGAGCTGAAAGTATCTGCATATCAAATGTAAATTTCAGGAAAATTAATATACACAGAAGTTATTTTAACTAAAAATATGCAGCATCCACTTATTAAGAATGGAAACTAAATATTTGGTGTTTTATTTTTTTCCACTTCCTGACTTTCCAAACTCATGGAGAATAATTCTGCTACCAGAATCCTTCCAAATTATACCCCTGACATTGGCAGTTTGTGTATGAAAAACTACACTTCCCAGAATGTCGTTGGCTATCACCAATCCACTTTCACAATCTGGCTTCCGGAACTACAAACTACAAGTAGCATTTGTCAGAGAAATATCTACATGGGCTTATTTTCACTGGAGCCAAGGAAACACCAGGGAGAGAGTCGCCTATGTAGCTCCCTACCATCTTCTTTTACAACCAGTGTAATTGCTTCACAGTTCTTGATGCTAGTGAAAATTTTTCGTGGATTCTTACACCAAATTAACCACCTACCTCTGTTCTTGTTTGTTTTCTATATTCTTGCAAGTATTTTAGTCACAAGTCGTGAACATGGAATTTAGGGTCTGCTAGACATGGTCTAGTTGAATACATTTCAGTATTTCACAATAATTGAAATAATACACATCCCAAAGTGATTTTATGTATAGAGACAAAGGCAACCTTCATTTTAATTAATAGAAAAATACATTATCCAGAAATAGAATTTTAAAAAGGTGAAATTTTGTCATTGTTGCTATATGTTTTGCTCATTTAAACTCGAAAAAAGGCTATTTTGAGAATTTCTTTTCCAAGGTACACTCTAATGTGATAGGGATAGTGGCAGAGGATGACACATTTCCTTAATAATAAATAAGTTAAACGAAGAAAACCTAATTAATTTTCCTTGAGTAATGTTTAAAGGTGCTCTACTTCACTTTTCAAGCTTGTCCCTACTTTTCCAATATTACCATTGCTACTTATAACCTTATTTACTGACTCTGATATTTTGGAAAGAAATAAAAGTAAAACCATTAATTGCAGTTCAAAATTTAAAAAATTATCTGCTAATATGGGTTCCATTATTTACATGGCCTAAATACATTTAATAATATTTATAAAACCTATGTTCTAATGCTTTCCTCTATATTCAAGCCGCTCTTAATACTATAATTTTATCTAAGTCCACCTTAAGTCCTTCTTGATGAAAAAGAAACTCCAGAATAGATTTTGTACCAATCATCATACTGAGAAAAATCAATGATACTTTCTAATTACTCAGAGACCACATTTTTATTCCTTCCGTGAAACTAAATTTTAAACATATACTCTCTTTGATCTGTCTTATTTTATCATGAACATGCTATTTCTGAAGGAAAGAGAATTAAAACCTTGCATGACAAACCAGCTATCAAAACCATACAATGATGCCTATTTTTGTGTAAGATAAATGAAAATTATAACTGTTGAGACCATTACATATTTAAGAGTTTATCGAAATGAAATGCAAAATACACATGTAACATGGAAATATGGCTAATTCTCAGCAGCAATAGAACAAAACTACTTATATCAGCAGTGTACATTATAAATTGCATATTTAATCAGTGGTTCTCAACTATAATACCAAATAATTACCAGCCATGCTTAGCTATCACTGCATGTGATGTTGGCATTTTCCTACATCTATTAATTTTGGAAGTTAGTTCAATGCAGTGGATATACCCAGCATGTTTATATGGAATTTTTCTTAAAAACATGTGGTTTCCATTATTCTGGTTTGAATTCAAAATCAAACCAACTTATATATGTACAAAAGGAGTTGTCATAATTTGTCACCAAATATATATTTGTGTGTACAAATATTAGTGCAACTAAATAACAAAGTCACAATGCATTAATGTTTATTTATGAGTAGATGAAAAATAGAAATCTAGATATGTTACAACTTTGTGAGAACATTTTAGAAATACATTTTTCATTAAAATATAAATATACTTCCTTAAGGAAATCATAAACTGGGAAAAAATAAGATAATATTTAAATACTCATATAAGTCACATTCTAGGCAGGAAAAGGAAACCCTCACCAGATAGTTCTATAGCAAATACGTACATATGTTGGAAGAAATGAAAATGCACACGCACGGCCAGGTGCAGTGGCTCACGCCTGTAATCCCAGCACTTTGGGAGGCCAAGGTGGGTGGATCACGAGGTCAGGAGATCAAGACCATCCTGGCTAACACAGTGAAACCCCTCTCTACTAAAAATTCAAAAAAATTAGCCGGGTGTGGTAGCATGTGCCTGTAGTCCCAGCTACTCGAGAGGTTGAGACAGGAGAATGGCGTGAACCCGGGAGGCGGAGCTTGCAGTGAGCCGAGATCGTGCCACTGCACCCCAGCGTGGGCGACAGAGCAAGACTCCGTCTCAAAAAAAAAGAAAATAATATATAGAAAATACACACACACAAAAGCAAAGTAATCTAAAGCAAAGTAATCCAGAGATTTTCAACATCAGGAAGGTCTTACTTCTTCTAGGACTGAAGGAACAAAGGGGGTAAGAAGACATGACAAAATTAAGGCAACACAGTGGGGAATGAAAGGTATGAGCTAAGACCATGAATGAAGATAATTTCCACTGAAGGCTAGAATCACAGAGGAAACATACTGCAGAAGCAACAACTTTGTGGAGACACTGCTTAATCAGAGAGAGGTAACGGAAATACTCTGGCTTCTTGCTTCCTCCCTTGTTTTAATCAACTGCCAGTACCTCTTCTTGGTCGAACCCAACAGGAATCTTTTTGACAAGGAAACCTGAGACATATAGTCTTCAGTGGTCTATCTCCGGTAGTGAAGGGGAGAGCAGGGAAGACAGTAATTGATCTGGGGACAAATAGGACATGACTGGTCCAATCCTTAAAAACATGACAGAAGCAGACATTCCATAGGAAATCTCAGGAGATCATAGATAGGAACTACAGTTAATCTGAGAAAAGGTCATATAACTTCAATAGATGTTTGGTAAAGTATTAAAGGCAGAAGCTTGGAATAACAATTTTATTTCTAATGATTTTGATGCAGAGGAGTTTCTGCCACTGGAAACGTCCTTCATGCAAAGATGAATGAGAGTTAAATAAAGAAATGGTTTTTGTTCTGATAGCTTTGACTGGAAAAGAGGCATTTTCATACTCAAATGGTAAGATTTCCTGAGGAGAAAAAAAATGGCCCCAGCTGAGGCTCAGAATGAAAAGCATAGAGTCACTGGAGCCAAGGGTAATTACAGATAGCCCAGAAGAGGCATGAAAAAATAGGAGGCAGTGAATTCCATTTATAAAGCTTACTTCTATGCCACGTCTCTGAAATGGTTTGTAGGGGCTTCAAGTAAAACCTATATACAATAAAAATACAGTATAGACTCTGAATATTTGGTCCAAGAAAAGAAGAAAAATTAAAATATCCAACAGTGAGAGCTTTTACGATCTGCAATAAGTGTGCATAAAATTTGACTTTTGATATTTGAGCAAGGAAGGCCAAACATCATGGAGCGACATAGCTCTCATAATCAGCATGGAAAAGCATAGCACTTATTTAGAGAACTTGTAAGTATCTCTGGAACTAAAGTCCTACAAATTCTCGATAGAAATTAACCTACAGATCATTTTATGATAAGGTGTACATTGATGAAAATTACATATCATAGCAAAGGTGAATGCTATATATTATAGAGATCTTTCTTATAATTACCTATGAGAGATACTGAACACAAAACATTAAAGTGCATTTCAGAAAAGTCAGTTGTTCTGGAGACTAACTTGATATGGTATAAGCTAATGGTTTAAATGGATGTTTTTCAAAATGTGTTCCAAGGAATATCAATTCCATAATATAATAAGATGTTCAAAATACCCAAATTAAGTTGTTGAAATGCTGTATACTATATTATAACCCTTTGTATATTCCTAATAAAACCACACTATAGGCTCTGAATAGGCCATCACAAAGGAACCTACTAAAAGTTACTCAAACTAGTATTTTTCAAACGCATTTTATCACAAGAATTATTTGAGACTAAAGCTGGTTAACATTCTGAGGGACCAGGCTTTTACACTTCTCACTTCAAGAAACTCTAAGCTCATTTTATCACATGAATAAATTTAGAATATCTAGAAGCATGTATGAATGCCATGCTCATTAGCATATCAATAGTAAATATATTTCTGCTCCTTATTAGATGTCGTTGATAAGATAATCAATATTAATACTAAGAATTACCATACTATACATCTCCTGTAGGTCCAGTAATTATAGCTTATAAATAATTCATATCATTACAACCAATAAATTAGACATTATGCCTATTTAATAGATGATAATTAAACTTCTTTGAATACTAGAAAATATAAATAATTTTATACTAAAAAAATTGACAACAATAACTTGAGCGGAACTTTTATTTTTGAGATAGGGTCTCACTCTGTCAACCAGGCTGAGTGCAGTGGTGTGATCGTAGCTCACTGCAGCCTCGGTCCCTTGGGCTCAAATGATACTCCCACCTCAGTCTCCCAAATGGCTGGGACTACAGGCATGCATTGCCATGCCTGGCTAATTTTTTATTTTTTGTAGAGGCTGCCCAGGTTGGTCTCAAACTCCTGGACACAAGTGATCCTTCTGCCTCAGTCTGCCAATGTGCTGGGATTACAGGCATGAGCTACTGCACTTAGCCTGAGTGGAACATTTTTTTTTCTCTCTTTTTTTTGGAGATGGAGTTTTGCTCTGGTTGCCCAGGCTGGAGTGCAATGCCATGATCTTGGCTCACCACAACCTCTGCCTCCCAGGTTCAAGCAATTCTCCTACATCAGCCTCTGAGTAGCTGGGATTACAGGCATGCACCACCACACCCGGCTAATTTTGTATTTTCAGTAGAGACAGGGTTTCTCCATGTTGGTGAGGCTGGTCTCGAACTCCCAACCTCAGGTGATCCACCTGCCTTGGCCTCCCAAAGTGCTGGGATTACAGGGGTGAGCCACCACGCCTGGCCTGAGTAGAACTTTTAATAGCAGGAAAAGTAATCCATCTCCTGTCCCAGAATTGGATGCATCTTCATGAAAATCCACGAATTTACATAGCACTCAATTTTATAACTGTTCTAACATTTCATACCTCTAGATTGCATATGTTATAGCAAGATACACATGAGGTTACCCTGGGAGCAATATGGAGCAAGTGTTACCAGTTCTGTTCCTTAGCTAGGAAAAATATTATGAATGATAACATGATCCATCTTATTCTAATAACCATAAATTCACGGAGATCCTTACTCCACCAAATAACCTCATCTGCATCATGAAAAAATATCTAGCTCAAGGGTGTTGTGAAAATGAAATAAGAGAATTTTTAGTACTATTTATTTCCAGTTTTTCACCAAGTATTTATTAAACATTAAAAGTGTACAGTTATAGCACTAAACAATAAAATGAGAATGCACAGATGGAACTATTAAGGGGTTTATACACAAAAGCATTTTACAAGTTCTATACAACCATTTATCCTTTTCTGTTTGTCTTTTAAATTTTCAGACAAGATAAATAAACCCATAGGCTCTCAATCCTAGGTGCACATTGAAGTCATCAGCAGAATATTATAATTAAAGAAAAAAAGGCATATTTGAAACTACCACAAATAATTGAATCTTATTCTCTGGCATAGTACCCAAACATCAGTATTTTTTAAGTTTCCCATATGATTCTAAAGAGCAGCTAAGGTGAAAAACTGAATTATTTGTAAATATAGTCTCAGGTAGAAGGATCAAGTAAGGAAGTGGCAGGTGAGTGAAAAACATGAGATGTAAAAGTACAAGACAATAAAGAAAATAGAACATAGAATTCAGTGGTAATTGAGAAAACAAAGAATCAAAGTGAAATGATAATCTTTACAATTAGCACAATAATCTTTATAAGGGCGGGGCATTGAGATACTATAGAAGAAACCTAGAAACCTCTTTAAATCTAACTCAAACAGAAATAACAGCAGCATCAAATCCTGTTACATAATTTAATCAGCTGGAGGAGGGTGTGAAGTGCCCGTTTCCCAGGCTGTACACCAGACTAAAAAAATCACTATTTCTGGGGGTGGTGCCTTTGGTTTTTAGGTATTAATGTTTGTAAAACTTCACAAGTGATTTCAATGTGTGGTACTGTATCACTCCATTCTCATACTGCTAATAAAGACATACCTGAAACTGGGTAATTTTTAAAGGAAAGAGGTTTGACTGAGTCACAGTTCAGCATCGCTGGGGAGGCCTCGGGAAACTTACAATCATGGTGGGAGAGGAAGCAGGCACACCCTTCTTCACATGGCAGCAGCAAGGAGAAGTGCAGAGTGAAGTGGGGGCATGTGCCTTATAAAATCATCAGATCTTGTGAGAACTCCCTCAATATCATGAGCACAGCATGGAGGTAACAACCGCCATGTTTCTATTACCTGCCACTGGGTCTCCCCCAGGGCATGTGGGGATTATGGGAACTACCATTCAAGATGAGATTTGCTTAGGGACACAGAGCCAAACCACATCATTTAGGCCTAGCCCCTCCCAAATCTCATGTTCTCACATTTCAAAACCAATCATGCCTTTCCAACAGTCCCCCAAAGTCTTATCTCATTCTCAGTTTAACTCAAAAGTCCAAGTTCAAAGTCTCATTTGAGACAAGGCATGCTCTTCCACCTATGAGCCTGTAAAATCAAAAGCAAGTTAGTTACTTCCTAGATACAATGAGAGAACAGGCACTGGGTAAATCCACCCATTCTAAATGGGAGAAATTGGCCAAAACAAAGGGGCTACAGGCTGCATGCAAGTCTGAAATCCAATAGGGCAGTCATTAAACCTTAAAGTTCCAAAATGATCTTCTTTGATTCCATGTCTCACATCCAGGTCGCACTGTACAAGAGGTGGGCTCCCACAGCCTTGAGCAGCTCTGCCCCTGTGGCTTTGCAGGGTACAACCCCTCTCCTAGCTGCCTTCAGGGGCTGGTGTTGAGTGCCTGTTGCTTTTCCAGGCATGCAGTGCAAGCTGTCAGTGAATCCACCATTTTGGGGTCTGGAGGACCATGGCCCTTTTCTCACAACTCCACTAGGCAGTGCTCCAGTGGGGACTCTGTGTGGGGGCTCCCACCTTACATTTGCTTTCTGCACTGCCCTAGCAGAGGTTCTCCATGTGGACTTTGCCCCTGCAGTAAACTTATTCCTGGACATCCAGGCATTTCCATACATTCTCTGAAATCTAGGTAGAGGTTCCCAAACCTCAATTCTTGACTTCTGTGCACCTGCAGGCTCAAGACCACGTGGAAGTTGCCAAGTCTTGGGGCTTGCACCCTCTGAAGCCACGACCCAAGCTGTACCTTGGTCCCTTTTAGCCAAGGCTGGAGTGGCTGAGATGCAGGTCACCAAGTCCCTAGGCTGCGCACAGCTGGGGAGTCCTGGGCCCCGCCCACAAAACTATTTTTCTTCCTAGGCCCTAGTGGCTGTGATAGGAGGGGTTTCCATGAAGGTCTCTGACATGCCCTGGAGATATTTTCCCCATTGTCTTGGTGATTAACAGTTGGCTCCTCATTACTTATGCAAATTTCTGCAGGAGGCTTGTAATTTTCCCCAGAAAATTGGTTTTATTTTTCTATGACATCATCAGGCTGCAAATTTACCAACTTTTATGCTCTGCATCCTCCTGAACGTTTTGCTGCTTAGGAGATTCCTTCTGCCAGACACCCTAAATCATCTCTCTCAAGATCAAAGTTCCACAGATCTCTAGGGTCGGGGTACAATGCCACAAGTCTCTTTGCTAAGGCATAGCAAGGGTCACCTTTGCTCCATTTCTCAACAAATTGCTCATCTCCATCTGACACCACCTCAGCCTGGATTTTATTGCCCATATAACCATCAGCATTTTGGTCAAAGATATTCAACAAGTCTCTAGGAAGTTTCAAACTTTCCTAAATCTTCCTGTCTTCTTCTGAGCCCTCCAAACTGTTCCAAACTACCTGTTACCCAGTTCCAAAGTCGCTTCCACATTTTGGGGTATCTTTACAGCAGCACCCTACTACCTGGTACCAATTTACTATATTAGTCTGTTCTCATGCTGCTAATAAAGACATACCTGAGACTGGGTGATTTATAAAGGAAAGAGGTTTAATTAACTCACAGTTCAGCACAGCCAGGGAGGCCTCAGAAAACTTACAGTCATGGCAGAAGGGAAAGCAGGCACATCCTTCTTCACATGGTGGCAGCAAGGAGAAGTGCAGAGTGAAGGAAGGGGGAAGTACCTTATAAAATCATCAGATCTCCTGAGAACTCACTCACTATCACAAGAACAGCATGGAGGTAACCACCCCCACGATTCAATTACCTACCACCAGGTCTATCCCAAGGCGCCTGGGGATTATGGGAACTACAATTCAAGATGAGATTTGGGTGGGGACACAGCCAAACCATATCAAGTACTAAATCTTCTCAAACTTAAATGTTCATGTGTATAACTGGGGGATACTGTGAAAATGAAGATTCTGATTTTTCAGGTCTGGGCCAGGCCCAAGATTCTGCATTCTCAATACTTCCAAGATGCTGCTGGTGTTGTTGCTGCTGCTCTAAGGAACACACTTTAAATATTAAGTTTTTGAACGCTGGCTCTAACTTGGCTGCATATTAGAATAACCTGGGGAACTTTAAAAACTGCTGATGCTTTGATCCCAATCCCAAAAAGGCTGACAAAACTTGTATGAGTAAGCCACTCATTAATATGCCTTTGATTGCCATTCTCTCTTCCCCACCTTAGTGTTCCCTACTTGTGCTTTCTTAGATAACTTTTCAGATAAATTACTTACACCCATGCCTAGAATCAAAGTTGACTTTTAGGAGAATCCATATCAAGAGACTGTCTTCAGTCTTACAACACAACTCATTCTGAGGGAGATATTATTTTAGTCTCTCCTCTTGTTTTAAAGTTCAATGTTTTCATTGAATTATTTGTTCTATCCCCTCCAGTCTGATGCTCTTTCACTCTGGCAGAAGAAAAAAATGAAACAAAATAGAAGCTAAGGCATTTTACTTTTTTTTCTGTCACCTCATAACATTGCCCCATCTACTCTCAATAAATTAGACTGTGATCTTTTTGCTGTTGTGAGTCATGCTCTGAAAATGATTCTAAAAACCCTGCAAGTTATTCTTAACTTTAGTTTTTCAAGCTTCAGATCTGCGTTTTGTGAAATTACTCCTAGGAGTCTAGGTCTTCCAGTTTGTATGCATTCTTGATCATTTTCTTACAGTTCACTAACCTGGCATTCTCAACATTCTACAGTGTAAAAGGACAGGTAAATAAGGGACAGGTAAATGTGTAAGTAAAGTTGATGCAATAAGGACACACCCATGCATTCATCTATTCAATCATTTTATCAATGTATATTGAATATGTACTATGTGTCAGGGAGGTATCTAGATACGGGGAAATAGATCAAAGAAGAGGCCAAACAAGGATTTTGATTAATGAAGATTTAGTCCCAGTGAAGAAGCAAAAAAAAGATAATTTCATATCGTGCTTAGCACTGTAAAGGAAAGATACAGTGTGATGGGGTGGGTGTATGTTGGGAGGTGCAACTTTATAGACAGTGGTCGGTGATGGCTGCTGTGAGAATGTGACGTTTGAAATAAATTGTGAAGACTTAGCTACTTGATTCATAGGAGAATGTTTTAGACAATCACTCTCATCCAGTAAGTAAATACAGTGCAATTCTAAGTGGTGCAATCTTTGATTTACAAAATCAGATTAAATTAGAAAGTGGAAAGGAGCTGTTAGTTACAAGTCTGCCTATAATACAAAGAAGTTAAAGAATATAATAAATCTCTATGTACTGATCCAAAAAAATATCCATGATGATTTTGTTCTATTTTTAAATGCAAAATTATATGAACTGTAGAATTAAATTTGTATTTAAAAGACATTATATGCCTATACGCACACTCTCACACACACATATGTATATATATAGATGAAATGTTTGCCTTTGCTTTAACATATGTATACTGGAATACTCATAAAATATAGTAAGACGACTGTGCAGCAAACTCCTAGAAATAGTTACCTTCAAAAGGTGGGACTGGGGGAAAGTGGTATGGGGATTTTACTCAGCAATAATTTATGCCTTCCCAGTTTGATAGTATATATGTTTGTTTTAATATGCATAATAATTATCAGAAAGTGGGGGTGGAAAAATAAGGAAAAAAAAACAGGTGATAATAAGCAGGTAATATGAGTGAAAATATGAAATTAATTTTGAAAATGAAAGTCAACATCATACAAAATCCTGAAACACAGCTATTTTTATTGTTTTAACCTGTAGATAAATAACCCATAGCCATAGAAGGTAGTAAAGTTGTAGGTCATTATTGAAATTCAATAAAAAATTTTGATTTTTTTCTTTTGGGAATAATCCTTATAGCAATCTGTTGTTACCATTTAGGAAGCATTCTGTCACAAATATTAAAATAATTATAAAATGTTTGGCTGTTGGCTGGGCATGGTGGCTCACACCTATAATCCCAGCACTTTGGGAGGCTGAGGTAGGCAGATCAACTGAGGTCAGGAGTTCAAGACCAGCCTGACCAACATGGAGAAACCCCATCTCTACTAAAAATACAAAATTAGCTGGGGGTTGTGGTGCACGCCTGTAATCCCATCTACTCGGGAGGCTGAGGCAGGAGAATCACTTGAACCCGGGAGACAGAGGTTGTGGTCAACTGAGATCGCGCCATTGCACTCCAGCCTGGGGAACAAGAGCAAAACTCCATTTCAAAAAAAAAAAAAATATGTGCCTGTTCACAGGGGTAAGTTTTAAATGTGTAGAAAATGAACTCAGGGGGAGCATCTCATTACTTGACAATGAGAGATAATTATGAAATATAGGTAAGAGACCACAAAGGACTTAATATTTCCCACTCTGGCACCGACATATTTTTAGGCCCTAACTGTTCCACCTCACCATTCTTGAAAACACAAATTGCCCAGCCTTTGACAGCTAATTCACAACATAAATTCCTCCCTCTTTTAAGAACCAGTTTGGAGTAATTATTCCCCAAACCAACTGATCTACAACTGACTCTGTTGCTAAACCTCCATACAAAATCTGTCATTCTTCTCCTGAAGCAGAATATTTGTTTGGAGTATTCTCATGACCCACATTTGCTCTCTGAGCAGTAGAATACAAGAAGGGCAGTTGTAGGCATTTGTATTTTACTCTTTATACTTCCGTATCATTTGGATCTTTTACATGTACTTATTCGTGGAATACCTGTGGAAGGAAGGGAGGAAGAAAATAAAAAAGGAAGGAAGGGAGAAAGGAAAGGAGGAGAAGAAAAAAAAAGGGAGGAATGATATATTCCTGAATTACATCTTATAATTGAAAGAAAGGAAGGCAGAAAGAAATGAAAATGTAATGAAGAAAAGAAGACTGACTAGTCTGTTTTAAGGGTAGGGATTTTGACTGATGTTGTACGTTGATACATTATAAGCACTTTATATATCTAATATTTATATATATTATGTATATGATGAAAGAAAGGAAAGGATAAAGGAGGGAGAAAAGGAGGGAATAATTGATTGCTATTAAGTCTTTTCAATATTTAGAAAATATAAGCATGATGAGGCCGGGCGCGGTGGCTCATGCCTGTAATCCCAGCACTTTGGGAGGCCGAGGTGGGTGGATCACGAGGTCAGGAGATCAAGACCATCCTGGCTAACATGGTGAAACCTCATCTCTACTAAAAATACAAAAAATTAGCCGGGCATGGTGGCAGGCGCCTGTAGTCCCAGCTACTCGGGAGGCTGAGGCAGGAGAATGGTGTGAACCAGGGAGGAGGAGCTTGTAGTGAGCCTAGATTGCGCCACTGCACTCCAACCTGGGCGACAGAGCGAGACACTGTCTCAAAAAAAAAAAAAAGAAAAGAAAATATAAGCATGATGAGGTATATATCGCTTGTCATTGCTTACATTTATTCTACCTAAACCAGATAAAATAATCTAATATACATTCCTGTCTCTCAAATAGTTTTTTAAAAGACCTGTAAGTCATAAAAACATTAGAATCTTATAAATCATATTTGGAACAATATAACAATTCACCTAGATTGTTGTTTTAATTTTCAGTGGTAAGACTGTACTTCCTTTAAGAAAATTATTTGGAAAGCAATACTTATTTTTGTTCAAATATTTTCGGCTAACAGTGTGATAATATTGAAGTATATATTTCCTTTGTCATAAATTGTGTCAAAGTTACAGCTTAAAATATATACAAAGGAGGTGAAACTGAATTGTGAATAAGGAAGTAATTGATGATAAAATGATGTTAAACTAATTTGCTTTAATAAAAATTTTATGTGTCACATATTTACCATATATCCTCCATTTTATGCTTCTTTCTTGGATTTATATTAAATTAGCCTATCACATTTTACATAAACATCATTATTAAATGTAATTTCCTTTTAATTCTCACATTCCTTGTTCTCTATTTCTGATTTTTGTCTCAGATCTCTAGACAAATGATGATGAAGTTTAGTTGTATTGTGAAGATATAAATGCACATTGTATTTTAATTTAGTTACTCCACCTTTTTATTCATATTCTCCTCTCTTTCCTTATCCCCTTCTAACTATCATATATTCCTTCAGTGTGAAATTAGATGATTCTAATCATGAGGTTATGATACATAAGTTTTGTATATTAACTAATTAATTCAAAAAATATCTATTGAGTGCTTTATGAGTACTTGGTAGTATTTCAGGGGCTAGTGATCCCATATACTAAAACAACCACTGTCCATTGTAGAGCTTCTATTCTAGCAGGGGATGAATGACCACAAACATAATAAATTAATATATGCTCCATCAGGTTGTAACAATTTAGTAAAATAATGACACTATAAACGGAACATAGAGTGCTGGTGAAGGGCTAGGGTGAAGCTTCTCAAAGTGATGGGAAGTGACAGGGGGAGCCAAGTTGATGTCTAGGGAAGAGGCTTCACTTCTGGCAGAGGAAACAGGTGCAAATGACTGAAGGAAAAAAAAAAAGTTTGCTGAGTATTTCCAGAAGAGTCAAGAGGCCAGTGCCCCTAATTGGAGCTGGACAAGTATAGAGGAATAGCCATGGAGGCCTCTTTAAGCCATGGCAAGCACTTTTTATTTTTACTCTGGGATGTGAAATCATTGTAGGTTATTGCACAAGTTATGATATTATCTATCATGCATTTATAATGACCTCTCTGACTGCTGTTGGAGAGTAGATTCTGGAGCAAAGACCGAAGCAGAGCAATAAAGAGGCTACATTATTATCCAGAGAAATGATGGTTCTTGGATCACAGTGGTCATTTAGATGCTCTGAGACCATGTCAGAATTAATGATATCCCTGTTTGATATAAACAACAAGAACTCATTCCGTTTAACTCAGAAAAAAAAATTATTGTGGAGACATCTACGCAATAAAACTGGAACTGGGCTGAAGTTTCATCAGGATACGTGATGGTTCTTAGTGAGTGTTTTTCTATGCTCTTTTGAAACCTTACTTAGTCTGCTTCCATGTACATTTTGGTCATAGCACATTATAGTTGTTTCTGTCTTTTATTCTACATCACATACCTCTTGTTCTTCAGCTCCTACTATTAACTGTCACATTCTATTAAAATTACACATTCAAAATGCTAACAGAGGAAAATATTTCTTATGAAGCATTGCTTAGCCTTTATGGAATAGCTGTCCTTGGGTGGTTAAGGGGAAGACAGTACAAAGTGTGGCCAAGTAAATAGCCAGCCTGAAACACCTCTGGGATGGCCAGTTTCTCTTCAATGGGAAAAGCATAGATGGTACTCTGAAGTGGTACCTGCCCAGCCCAAGATTTATTTGTTGAAGTGTTGTTTATTTGTTTGTATTCTAATTTCTTATTTATTTTCAGTTAGTTGCTATAAATATAATAGGTTTTAACAACAGAAAGAATATTTGAAAATAAGTGAGAGTGATCTTGAGAACAATGAAAGAAGAAATGACAGAACCTTGAAATAGCAATCAATAATGAGAACGTAGAGATAAAGAGCAGAAAACAGAGTATGTAAGAAAAATACCTTTGGGACCCTTCAAGCTGGGAACTGCTCAGGGCAAATCTGCTTCCTATTCTATTCAAGTCATCCCTTTGCTCACAGAGATAGATGCATATTCTGATTGCCTCCTTTGGAAAGACTTATCAGAAACTCAAAAGAATGCAACCATCTGTCTCTCACCTACCTGTGACCTGGAAGCCCTCAGTGGGGTGGGGTAGGGCTTGCTTTGAGCTGTCTGTGTCTTTCTGGATGGAACTAATTTACTTCTTACATATTGATAGATGTCTCATGTCTCCTGAAAATGTATAAAACCAAGCTGTGCCCTGACCACCTTGGGCACATGTCGTCAGGACTTCCTGAGGCTGTGTTATGGGTGTGTCCTCAACCTTGGCAAAATAAACTGTCTAAATTAACTAAGACCTGTCTCAGATTTTCTGGTTTTGCAACAGTGAGAGAATCAGAATAGACCTGCTAGAATACTCTTACAGCATCACTATTCTGAGCATGGCAGCTACAAATATGACCTGTTTATATTTAAATACTTTGTATTGAATATCAGTTATCAGTCTCACCAAAAGGAAGTGTAAAAAAAGGTCAGATGGACTATATATATTGGTAATCCTAAATGTCAGCCCACCAACTGGAGTTTTGTTACCCTCTGACACAAGGTCTTACCAGCTGGCTCAAACATTTTAAAAAAATATATCACATAGCAAGCTCAGTTGCTGATCTTCAGAATCATTCAAGCCAATATCATTTCCCCTACCGGTTATTCACATTTTCACCAATTATCATTAGTAATAAAGTAATTATGCTTTAACCCTAAAACAGGGACTATTTCTAGGGCCAAGGTAACTAGTGTTATGGTATTCACTTTGCCAGATACAACTTCAATATTTGGAAACTTCGAGGTCACACAAGCTAGTGAATTTCAAATATGTGGAATTGATGCAGGAGTGGGTATCTGGCATTTATAATGATACTACTAATGTTCTCCTGACACGTTTGGAACACAGTTGCTTTATTCTCTATTCAAAATTTGCTACTACTGCTGGTAAAGTCACTTGTATAATTTATTGCTTATATATTCACTGCTGGAAATCTAAATTCTACGGTTAAATTGTAAGTTTTATTCTTCATAGTATATCATATCTGTTTGTGTCCACTAGGAAGTATTTGATGTTATTGTAGAAATTTTAATCTCTAGAGTGTAATAGATTCATAAGAACATCCACATCCACTGTAAGAATATTTGTCTAGATTCTGGTCTAATACACCATAATAAAATTCACTGTATTATTCTTAATAAAAGTCTCTGTACTAAAATAAGTTTCATTATATCTTAAGACAGAACTACTATGTAAAACACTAAGGGTTTGAGACATAGTGAGAAATAAAAATCCAACAGACATAAAGGTGATGAAAGATACTGTATTGGAAAATATATGCTGCTGGTCATGTTTTCATGGTTAATTTTGTGAAATCTTTCAGAAGTTTTAAAGCAAAGAATCCCAAGTAGATGCTGAATACATCTTTTCTAGAAGGGAGATTTAATTTCATGGAAATGGTAGGGCTTTTTTTTTGGTCTCTTTAACTTTGAAATAATACAAAATAATATTTTAAAAGTATGCTATATTTAAAAAGGAAAGTAGGGATGAGTTGGAAGGCAAACATACTATTATATTTGAATGATCTATTTTATATCCTATTATCTAGATAAAGAGCTAATATACATATCTAATTAATATTCTCTGTAACTTTTCTGAAGAGAGCTTCAGGAAATTTGGGACATACATACTTAGAATTGTGGGTATTACCTAAAAATATATACACTGTTTCATGAAAAACTTAAATTATGAAATGAATGAATATAAATATTATGAAAATAACACTGTTAATATTGAAAATTCAGGTAAATAAATTAATTGCTCCAGAATAGCTTTTTAATTTCAGGTTCTACAGATATCATTAATCTAGGAAATAATATTCATGAATAAAAAGAATTAAAACATTGCTGAAAACACATCATTTATTAATAAAATTAGTAAAAATTAGAGTGAGGGTAAAGTGAATTTTACCCTCACAAATTGTGATGTCATGCAGTTTGATCATAATTAACACCTTAATTAAGGAAATGTAAAACAAAACAAGATTATTAAATTTTCTTTGAAACCTATATTCAAAGTTTATACATGCAGGAGAAACAAAAAGTTCAAACACTGTAGGAACATTAATTTTGTAGTGCAAAAAGACCAAAATGAGTTTCTTAGAAACAATATAAAAGGATTAAAAATCCAAAATCTCTTTAAAGCTTAATGTACATAAATAATTCTTTTTTTTTGTTTCCACCGATACAAATCTTTCATACTGAATTTTTCACTTCAAAGCATAGGATTTTAAGGGGAGAGTATTTGCTCTTAATGAATATAATTTCAAAGTAAGTAGAGTATTATTTAGTGCTAGTAAACTTCAATTTCTCTAATTCCCCACCTTCCTTTAAGGGATACCTTCTCCCACTGGGATTCACAGCATTCTTATGCTGAGGCCACATCTCATGCATCAATATGTCTGAGAAAACTATCTAAAATGAATTCACACTGAGGTGTTGATGACTATATCAGTATGGTTTCTTCTCATGCATCTTCTCTGACTGTGAATTACTTAAAAGCAGGACTTATGTTTTATTCATGATTATTTTTTCAATCTCTCATGGTGCTATGGCTAGAGTACAGTCAATTCACCAAACAATTTGCCTCAACAATTCACCAAAAATAATTCCTTAATAGAATGCTGAACAACTTATTTCTACCCTATTGTAAATACTCTAGGTACTTTCTAAGTTGTGTTCTGAGATCTGAAAATATAAAAAAAGGAAGAACAAAATACAAAAATTTGAGTGATATTGAGGAAAGGAGAGTGGGTATTGAAATAAACATGGTTCAATAAGAAAATATGCAAGGGATGTTTGTCTCAAATTGTTCCCATTTATTACTAGGAGAGAATATTTGAAAAAGGGGAAAGTAAGGGACATGTATTGAAGATCTCATGCAACTGTTCCTCCTGCAGGTACCCAAGACTGGGCAATTTACAAAAGAAAGATTTAATGGACCTACAGTTCCACATGGCTGGGGAAGCCCCACATTTATTTATTTATTTATTTATTTATTTATTTATTGCTAGGAGAGAATATTTAAAAAAGGTGAAAGGAAGGGACATGTATTGAAGATCTCATGCAACTCTTCCTCCTGCAGGTATCCTCAACATGTTATCTGTTGCGTATTGTTAACCATATTTCACCAATGGGAACACTGAGGTTCAGAAAATGGACCAAGATCATATAACTGGCAAAAGGCAGAATTAGGAGGGCAATTTATATCTTTCTAAAACCTGTCAAAGGAAAGACAAAGATCACTAAAACATGAGTCAATGAGTACTGGCATTATTGTTTGATTTTCTTAGATTAACAACCAACTTCATTTTCTTATAGCAGTTTTAGGTTCACACAAAAAATGAGCAGATTGTACAAGAAAATTCCCAAAACTCCTCCCCACCAAAATTTTCCACTATTATTAACATCTTGAATAGTGTGATGCATTTGTTAAAACTGGTAAACCCATATTGATACATTGTTATTAATTAAAATTCATAGGTTATCTAAGGGTTCACCGTTAGTATTGTAAAGTTCTATGGGTTTTGACACATGCATAATGTTTTGTACCTACAATTACAGTACTACACAGAATAGTTTGGCCACTGTAAAAATCTCATTGCTTCACCTATTCCTCCCTCCCTTTGTCCCCCTGAACACTTGAAAGCCACTTATTTTACTCTCTGATAAGGTTTGGCTATGTCCCCACCCAAATCTCATCTTGAATTCCCATGTTTTGTGGGAGGGACCCAGTGGGAGGTAACTGAATCATGGAGGCAGGTCTTTCCGTGCTGTTCTCATGATAGTGAATAAGTCTTGTGAGATCTGATAGTTTCATAAGGGACAGTTTTCCTGCACAAGCTCTCTTCTCCTGTCTGCCGCCATGTGAGATGTGCCTTTTACCTTCTGCCATGATTGTGGTGCTTCCCCAGCCATGTGGAACTGTAGGTCCGTTAAATCTCTTTCTTTTGTAAATTGTCCAGTCTCACATATGTCTTTATCAGCAGTGTGAAAATGGACTAATACAGTATATTGGTACCAGCAGTGGGGTGCTGTTGAAACGATATCTGAAAATGTGAAAGCGATGTTGGTACTGGGTAACAAGCAGAGGCTGGAACAGTTTGGAGGGCTCAGAAGAAGACAGGAAAATGTGGGAAAGTTTGGAACTTTGTAGAGACTTGTTGAAGAGCTTTGCCTAAAATGCTTATAGCTATACAGACAACAAAGTCCAGGCTGAGGTGGTCTCAGATGGGAACGAGGAACTTGTTGGGAACTGGAGTAAAAGTAACTCATGTTATGTTTCAACCAAGAGACTGGTGGCATTTTGCCCCTGCCTTAGAGATTTGTGAAACTTTGGACTTGAGAGAGATGATTTAGGGTATCTGGCAGAATAAATTTCTAAGCAGCAAAGCATTCAAGAGGTGACTTTGGTGCTATTAAAGGCATTCAGTTTTACAAGGGAAGCAGAGCATGAAAGTTTGGAAAATGTGCAGCCTGACAATGTCATAGAAAAGAAAATCCCATTTTCTGAGGAGAAATTCAAGCTGGCTGTGGAAATTTATATAAGCAATAAGGATCCAAATGTTATTGCCAAAGACAATGGGAAAAATGTCTCTAAGACATGTCAGAGGTCTTCACGGCAGCCCCTCCCATCACAGGCTCAGAGGCCTAGGAGAAAAAAACGGTTTCATGGGCCAGACCCAGGGTCCCCCTGCTGTGTGCAGCCTAGTGACTTGGTGCCCTGCATCACAGCCGCTCCAGCCATGGCTGAAAGGGGCCAAAGTAGAGCTCATGCCATGACTTCAGAGGTGCAAGCCCCAAGCCTTGGCAGCTTCCACGTGGTGTTGAGGCTGCGAGTAAACAGAAGTCAAGAATCAGTGTTTGGGAACCTCTGCCTAGATTTCAGAGAATGTAGGAAATGCCTGGATGCTCAGGCAGAAGTTTGCTGCAGGGGTGGGGCCCTCATGGAGAAGCTCTGCTAGCGCAGTGCACAAGGGAAATGTGGAGTCAGAGCCCCCACCCAGAGTCCCTACTGGGGCACTGCCTAGTGGAGCTGTGAGAAGAGGGCCACCATCCTCCAGACCCCAGAATAGTAGATCCACTGACAGCTAGCACTATGTACCTGGAAAAGCCACAGACACTCAACACCAACCTGTGAAAGCAGCTTGGAGGAAGGCTGTACCCTGAAAAACCACAGGGACAGAGCTGCTCAAGACCATGAGAACCCACCTCTTGCATCAAGGTGACCTGGATGTGAGACATGGAGTAAAAGAAGATCATTTTGGAACATTAAGATTTGACTGCCTTGCTGGATTTCAGACCTGCATGGGGCCTGTAGCCCCTTTGTTTTGGCCAATTTCTCACAATTGTTATGGCTGTATTTACCCAGTGACTATAACTCCATTGTATCTAGGAAGTAACTAACTTTCTTTTGATTTTACAGGCTCATAGGTGGAAGGGACTTGCCTTGTCTCAGATGAGACATTGGGCCGTGGACATCTGAGTTAATGCTGAAATTAGTTAAGACTTTGGGGCACTGTTGGGAAGGCATGATTGGTTTTGAAATGTGAAGACATGAGATTTAGGAGTGGCTGGGGTGAAATTATATAATTTGTCTATGTCCCCACCCAATTCTCATCTTGAATTCCCAGGTGTTGTGGGAGGGACCCAGTGAGAGGTAATTGAATCATGGGTGCAGTTCTTTCCTGTGCTGTTCTCATGATAGTGAATAAGTCGCATGAGATCTGGTGGTTTTATAAGGGGGAGTTTTCCTGCGCAAGACTTCTCTTTGCCTGCTGCCATTGATGTAAGAAGTGACTTGCTCCTCTTTGCCTTCCACCATGATTGTGAGGCCTCCCCAGCCACTTGGAATTATAAGTCCATTAAACCTCTTTCTTTTGCAAATTGCCCAGTCTTGGGTATGTCTTTATCAGCAGCATGAAAACGGACTAATACACTCTTGCCATAGTATTACCTTTTACAGAATATCATATATTTGAATTCATACCATGTATAGCCTTTTAAGATAGGCATCTTTAATGTAGCAATAGCCTTTAAAGTCCCCTCATGTATTTTTATAACTTGATAGCTCACTTCTTTTTATCATTGGATAATATTCCATTGTATGGATATATCACAATTTGTTTATCCATTAATCTATTAAGGGATATCTGGTTGCTTTCAAGTTTTAGAAATTATAAATTTCTAAAGCTGCAGTAAACATTCATGTGGAGATTTTCATGTGACATAAGGTTTCAACTCATTGGTAAATATTAAGAAACGTAATTGCTGGATTGTATAGTAAGACTATGTTTAGCTTTGAAAGAAACTGCCAAACTGTCCTCCATCATAGCTATACCACGTTGCATTCCCACCAGCAATGAATGAGTGTTTCTGCTCCATATCCTCACCACTACTTGTTTGGTATTATCATTAAAAAAAAAAAAAAAAAAAAAAAAGGTTGGCCATTCTAATAGATATGTAGTGTCATCTCATTGTTGTAAGTTGCATTTCCCTAATAACATATGATGATGAGCAGATTTTCATGTGCACATTTGCAATCTGTTTAACATCTTTGGTGAGGTGTCTATTCTGATCTTTTGTGATTTGTAGTTTGTTTGTTTCTATAATCTGAATGTTTGTGTTGCCCCAAAATGCATATGCTGAAACCTAATTCCCAATACAATACTATTAAGGGGTGTGGCCATTAAGAGGTGATTAGGTCATGAGGACGCAGCATTCATGAATGGGATTAGTGTCCTTATAAAAGATGCCTGAGGAAGCTTGTCTGTTGCTTCTATTATGTGAGGGTGTAGTAAGAAGGTATCATCTATGAGGAAGAGGCGCCTCACCAGACAGAGAATCTCCTGGTGGCTTGACCTTGAACTTCCCAGCCTCTAGAACTATAGGAAATAAATTTATTTTGCTTACAAATTACTCAGTCTAAATATTTTGTTTAGCAGCCTGAATAAACTACAACATTTGTTTTCTTACAGCTGGATTTTAAGATTTCTTTGCATATTCTGGCTACAAGTCCTTAATCAGATAAGTCTTTTGAAAAGATTTTCTCCAAGTCAATAGCTAGTCTTTTCATTCCCTTAACATTCACAGAACAAAACACGTTAATTTCAAAAATGTTCAAATTATACATGTTTTTTCTTCCATGCGTCATGCTTCTGGTGTTCTAACTAAAGACAGTCTCTTTAAAAATTTTTGCTGGAAAAGGTGGATATCCATATGCACAATAATGAAATTGGACCTTTAACCTACAACATACACACACACAAAAAAACTCGAAATAGATTAAAGGTTTAAATGTAAGAGCTAAAACCATAAAATTCCTAGAAGAAAACTTAGGAGAAAAGCTCCTTGACATCAGTCTTGGCAATAATTGTTTTTGGACACAACACCAAAAGCAAAAATGAACATGTGACACTACATCAAACTTAAAAGCTTCTGCACAGAAAAGGAAACAATCAGCAAAATGAAAAGATAACCGATGGAATAAAAAAATTTGCAAATCATATATATGACAATTTTGCAGTAATCAAGAGTATGATATTGGTAAAAGAATACACAAATATATCAGTGAAACAGAATAGAAATCCCTGAAATAGACCCATATAAATATAGTCAACTGATCTTTGACAAAGAAGCAAAAGCCATTCAATGGAGAAAGGATAGTATTTTCAAAAATTATACTGGAACAAATGGATATCAACATGCAAAAAATTAAATCTAGACACAAACCTTACACCTTTCACAAGAATTAACTCAAAACGGATCACAGACCTCAATGTATTATGTGAAACTACAAAACTTCTAAAATACAAGACTTTAAATCAAGTAGTATCAGTTCTCCAACTTTGATCTTCTGCTTCAGTATTGTGTTGGTTATTGTGGATTGTTTGTTTTTAGCTTACAGCCAAGAGAGCATACAGCAAGGAAACTAATTCATTGAGTGACTTTCCAAATAAAAGTTTTTCTATTCTCTTTCTCTTATGATTATATTAATCAAGAAGTGAAACCTTACATGCTAGTTAATGCAGAATAAATCCAAGAGCCTATATTTAGTTGATTAAAAGAAATCTTGATCTTCATTTTCTGGAAAGAATCTTAGGAGCAATCATTATGTTTGCCACTCAAATTTCTTTTCAAAAGAGAACTTGGAGAAGAGTAATTATCTGAGAGCCTCCAGCTGACACACACATTGGATTTGCCTCCGCATTCATGCAAAAGCCATGCTCTTCTCAGGTTGGTCTTAGCTAGTGACTGAATACAGTTGGTATACAAAAGCCAGTCCCATGTCAACGTGGGACTCCTGGGGCTCATCTAATGGGCATCTATGTTCTGAGACTCACCTTTAAACTGGCCAAGACTTTCTCAAACTGCATTGCACTCTAAGGCTCCTTCTGCTGATCCTTCTTACTCTCTTTTCTCCCCTTTCACAAGTGTAAGATCTGCACTGGAGTCTAAAGTGTGTCCACATTAATCTGATTCCCAATCCCCTTTATCCTTCAAGGGCATTTCTCTCAATAAGTCTTGCACATATCCAATACTATCTTATCATTTGTCTCTCAGGGGACCCAAACTGACAGTCTTCCATTATATCTGTTGAGGTAGAACTATCTAGGATGGCTCAAAATTCATGGATTCAAGGCACATGGAACAGAGCTTTGCAGCTAAGCTTCTTGGCTCCCAGCCTAGAGCCTGCCATTCAACCTACAGATACATAAAGGAGTTAAACCCAAGACCCTCAGTTGAGTCTAACCTAAACCAGGTGACCTCTAGGAAACTCTAATAATGACTATTTTAAGCCATTGAGATTGGGTTGGTTGTTCATATAGCAAAACTATCTAATTCCATGTTTCTCACTAATCTCTATCAGTCAAAAATAATAGAATCAAACAGTTCTGATGCAGATGGAATGACTTTGTAAATACAAATGATTCTAGATTCATGGTATTTTCTCTAAGTTACCAAAATCAACAGGAACTTTAACACAGAAAAATAAGCCTAATAGAGGGAAGCTAAATGGGGATTCAGTTATAACACAAAGGTCTCAGTGAAAATACATGACCAATCTAACAGGGCAGATTTAGAACAATGGAGGAAAATTTCAAAGGAGCCAGAAATCAATAGTAATGTGTTTAGAAATACAACCTATCCCATGCTCAGCACCTGACAATATATATCAGTTTGCTAATACAGGAAGTAAACAGAATTGCCATTTAATAGGAATTCTAAAAAGCTCTGATAGAAAAAGCACAGCATTAGAAAAATAGAGGCAGTCGGCCGGGTGCCAGTGGCTCACGCCTGTAATCCCAGCCCTTTGGGAGGCCGAGGCAGGAGGATCACGAGGTCAAGAGATCAAGACCATGCTGGCCAACATTGTGAAACCCTGTCTCTACTAAAAATTGTAGTCCCAGCTACTCAGGAGGCTGAGGCAGGAGAATCGCTTGAACCTGGGAGGCGGAGGTTGCAGTGAGCCGAGAACCCTCCACTGCACTCCAGCCTGGGCGACAGTGTGAGACCCTGTCTCAAAAAAAAAAAAAAAAGAAAGAAAAAAAAGAAATAGAAAAATACAGGGAGTCAATATATTGCACACACAATGCCAACCCACCAGCAGGAGGTTAATGAGGGGAAAAGGTACTAAATTTTTATTTTTATTTTTACTCAAGTCAGTCCCCTCTCTCTCTCTCTCTTAGTATTAGGAGAAAGTTGTCATATACAAAAAATAAAAGAGAAAAAGTGACTCAGCTTGATATATTCACTATGATTTTACTCTTTGTACATTCTGAACACTCAATATCAGTACATTAGGCTATGGCTATCTATATGTGAAAAAACATCCATGAACTCTTGAAAATATTATTGTGAATTTAGAAGAAAAATATCACATTGCCAGAGCTTGAAACATGTGATGCAAAGATGTCTACAACATACGCCTCATTGAAGTAAACTATTGTACAAGTATTGATAATCACAATAAAATGAGAAGAAAAAAATGATAAAGACATGCATAGAATGCTACAGGGAGAAAAGTGGAACACTTGTCTTTTTTTCTTCTTTTTAAGAAAATTTATTTTGTTACATACATAGGTGGTGTAATAACTCTTCAAGTCAGGGTATTTGAGGTGTTCACCACCTTGAGCATTTATCATTTATCACTTCTCTGTGTTAGAAACATTTCAAGTTTTCTCTTCTAGCCATTTTGAAATGTACAATACATTGTTATTGACTACAGTCATTTTACTCTGCTATCAAACATTAGAACTTACACCTTTCATCTAACATACTTGTAACCACTAACCAATCACTCTTTATCTGCTCCCCATCCATATACTCTTCCCAGCCTCTAGTATCTATCATTCTATTCTCCACCTCCATGAGATCTATTTTCTTAGTTCCCACATGAGTGGGAACGTGTGATGTTTGTGTCTTTCCATGTCAGACTTATTTCACTTAAAATAATGACCTCTAGTTTCATCAATAGTTACAAATGACATAATATTTTTATGGCTGAATAGTATTCTATACCACATTTTCTTTATCCATTTGTAGCTATTGTAAATGGGATTGCTTTCCTGATTTCTTTCTCAGGTAGTTCATTATTGGTATATAGAAATGCTACTTATTTTTGTATGTTTACTTTCTATCCTCCAAATTTACTTATTTATTAGATCTAAGAGATTTTTGGTGAAGGCTTTAGGGTTTTATAATATAAGATCATATCATCAGCAAAGAGGGAAAATGTGACTTCCTATGTTCCAGTTTTACTCTTCTCTCTTGCTTGATTGCTGCGGCTAGGATTTCCTCTACTGTGTTCAATAGGATTGGTGAGCGTGGGCATTGTTGTCTTGTTCCAGTTCTTAGAGGAAAGACTTTCAATTTTTCCCTGTTCGGTATGATGTTATGATGTTAGCTGTGGGTTTGTCATATATGACCTTTACTATTTTTAGATATGTTACTTCAAGGCCTAGTTTGTTGTGTTTTTATCATGAAGAGGTGTTCAATTGTATCAAATTTTTTTTCTGCAGTACACTTTTAGAAAAGAGTGAAAAAGAGTGTGTTGAAATGGCTATCTGGAAGAGAGGAGTTACCATTGCTTTTGCTAACACTTAAATTATAAGACAGAGTGTTGCCAGATAAGCCTGGACAGAAAGGCAGGGACAAGGACTTGGAGCCCATGTGTGTTGTGCTGAGGAAAATAACCATTTTACTAGTAAGTTACTAGGGATCATTGCAACAATTAACTATATGTATTGGGGAGGGGACTTTTGGGCAAATAGAAAAACCCAATACTTGAAAAATTTTAATTTGAGATACATTTATTAATAGATGTTAGATAAGGAGGCCTTAATATTTCTTGTTTAAAGGTGCTTAGGGATCTGGCGGAGTTAAGAGAGAATATTGTTTTCAATCATAGGGGCTGCAAAATATACTTAATTTGTGTTTGAGAAAATTGTATAAATGAATAAATGTGCTAAAAAAGTCCTGGATCAAAGTTTCGCTGAAAATGTGTTATTTGGGGATGCATTTGAATATTCTGGAAATTTTCACTCTAGAGACTAATTAAAAAGATATCCTGAAGATGTTACCAGAGTGTAACACTTCTTAATTTACAAGCCTTACCACAGCTACAATTTAGAGAGAGAGGGAAATAAAAGGGAGATTCTGTACCACATAAAGTTAGTTTTTTTAAAGATAATTTCCTTTAACAATTATTAATTCTTTTAAAAGAAATTATCCAAGGTAATTACTTGACACAAGGAAGAGTTAAGTTTTTAAAACAAGGTAAAGCCATTTGGGAAATATTAATCAATGAAGAGTGTAACTTTAAATAAAAATATATAATAGATGTGTATATTTTTAGGGTATATGTGATATTTTAATTGATATAATGTGAAAAGAACAATTCAGAGCAATTGGGATATCTATACCTTAAGTATTTATCTTTTCTTTACACTAAAAACATTTGAATTATTATCTTCTAGCTATTTTCAAATGTACAATACATTATTGTTAACTATAGTCATTCTGTTGATCTATCAAACACTGTTTTATTTGCAAATTTACATATTTATAGAAATATCTGTTACTTTTTCCATTTTTATTACCTAATCATACTTCCAAATTTTACCATTATTGTTTATTGAGGTGGAATCTAGACATAAATCATCTAATTTTGAGGTATTTTTAGGCACACTGTATTAATTCATTTTTACACAGCTATAAAGAACTACCTGAGACTGGGTCATTTATAACGAAAAGAGGTTTAATGGACTCACCATTCTGCATGGCTGAGGAGGCCGCAGGAATCTTACAATAATGGCAGAAGGCAAAGGGGAAGAAAGGCATGTCTTATGTGGAGGCGAAAGAGAGAGAGAGAGAGCAAGAGAGAAGAGAGCGAGCACAGGGGAAGTGCCACACTTTCAATCATCAGCTCTCATGAGAACTCACTATCACAAGAACAGCAAGAGAGAAATCCACCCCATGATCCAGTGATCTCCCTCCAGGCCCCTTCTCTGACACATGGGGATTACAATATAAGATGAGATTTGGGTGGGGACACAGAGCCAAGACATATACCACACCAAGCAGATTTACAGAGTTTTAAAATTTAACTGCTTAAGGTAATGATCAGTTTTATAGATGATATCCAGTTCAGTGTATAGTTTTTGGACTCTTAATTCAAGCAGTTTTATCAGATAGTTCTCAGTTTCATGAACATGGATCTAATTACTTAACCCATGAATACATGTTTTCAACAAACTGCCCTATTTATTTCTTGCATATTTAAGTAATAAAATAATTTCAATTAAAAATAAAAAAGTCAAAAATGAAAATTCAGGCTTTGAAGTGTTACATGTTTCACTCTCTTTAAAACTTTAAAATACTGTTTTTAGTTTATTTGAAAATCTGTAAAAGCCTAATGATTAATAGATATACATAAATGTTTGTAGCTCAATACTTAGAATTATACATGCCTGTAAGCATGCACATCCCTCAATAAATTTTGTTTGGAGGGATTATTAAATGACATGTATTAATTTCTATTTAAAATTTTGTGCTATTTTTATGCTAGAATATAATTCTAAATAAATTACCCTCGAAGTTAAATGATTTCAAATCAGAATATGCTACTAAAAATGCGATATTCCTTTCTAAACAATGTATTTTTGTTGTTAACATTTCTTAGTGCTCAAATATGACAATTAAAATCATTGACAGTAAAAAGATTCAGTTCGTTTATTTATAATTTTCTCCTCTTTGGATTGAGGAAAATGGGGGAAAAAGAGGATAATATTATGAACTGTTAAATAGTCTGTGGCACATATTAACTAAATATGTTATAAATTATTACCATTACTAAAATATTTTGAATGGTTTTGTATTTCTTTCCCTTTTCATATATCTTTTTTTTTCTTGTGATTTAAACTTTGTGACAGACCTACGGATACATCACTCATAGACCTCTTCAAGAAAGAACTTGCTGTCCAATTCTGAAGGCTGTGGTTAGTTGACAGCCTCCAACCGTTAGCTTTAACAGAATCCCTATCAACTTCTGAGCCAAAGTCATGCTCTCCTGAAGCAATCAGCCAATGACTGAGCATGGTGGTGGTACAAGGGCATAGGCAACTTCCAAGGAAAGATATTTTTATTGAGTAATCTTTATTCCAGAGTTCTCAGTTGATGTTCAGAAGTTTTGTCAAGTACAAATCATGTCCTAACAACTCCGCATGTCTAAATCTGCCTTATCTCCCTTTTCTTTCCCCATCTGTTGTTATTCTACAATAAACATTTTCCCTCATAATTCCAGCTCATCATTTACTTCCCAGAAAACTCAACCTCTATCAAACATCAAGTTTCATTTTGCAAGTATCTGAGAGATATGGGCAATATGAAGTTTGAAAGAGTTGGTCTAAGTATTTTTTTTTTTTTTGGAGTTGGAGTCTTGCTCTGTCACCAGGCTGTGGTGCAGTGGGACGATCTCGGCTCACTGCAACCTCTGCCTCCCGGGTTCAAACGATTCTCTTGCCTCAGCCTCCTGAGTAGCTGGAACTACAGGCACCCGCCACCATGTCCAGCTAATTTTTGTATTTTTAGGAGAGATGGGGTTTCACCGTGTTGGCCAGGATGGTCTCTAACTCCTGACCTCAAGTGATCTGCCCACCTCGGCCTCCCAAAGTTCTGGGATTACAGGTGTGAGCCTCCACGCCCGTCCTAAGTATTTTTTAAAATAGAGAATGGGGAATCAACATGCCAAATATTTATTTGTGTAACCTCTAAAACTACCAAGGCATAAATTTGGAAAAAAAAAGCTAAAAAACATGATTCTCATGTTATGAACTAAATTGTGTTCCCTCATAATTCACATTTTGAAGCCCTAACACCCCAGTAACTCAGAATATGATTGCATTTGACAATACAGCCTTATAGGCCAAATATTTATTTGTGTAACCTCTAAAACTACCAAGGCATAATTTGAAAAAAAAAAGTAACAAACATGATTTTCACATGTTATGAACTAAATTGTGTTCCCCCAAAATTTACATTTTGAAGCCCTAACCCCCCTGGTAACTCAGAATATGATTGCATTTGACAATAGAGCCTTAAAGAGATGATTAAGTTAAAATACGGCTATTAGTGAGGGCCTTAAACCAATCTGATGTTTTTATCAGAAGAGGAAATTCAGATACACACAGAGAGACCAGGAATGTGCATACACACAGAAAAGACCATATGAGAACACAGTGACAGGGCAACCAGTCAAGGAGAGAGTTCCCAGGAGAAATCAAACTTACAGATACCTTGATCTTGGCCTTCTACCCTCCAGAATCATGAGAAAGTAAATTTCTGTTGTTTGAGACCCCCAGCCTGTGCTATTTTGTTATAGCAGCCCTAACAAACTAACATATGATAAAAATATAGAATAAATAAATATATGTCAAATTTATTGAACTTAGAGTTAATCGGCAGAATAATAAGCCTGATTCAAAGAACATTTGAAGAGCTGAGGAGTATTTATTAAAACTGAAGAAAGACTTTTGGAATGAAATTGCTATATTAGATTCAGAACTAGTTAATGCCCTATAGGACAATAAAATCGTATTGCTTTGTTCTACCAGACAGAAATCATTTGCATCTTTATCAGATAAAAAATACAAATTAACATTTAACTTCATAGGTGTATGCACAAACAATAGTATGTTAATAAAGGTACATACCTTAGAGAATTAAATAATACCTGGGGTGTCCTTTTAGATGATGCTTCAGTATGTTATTAAAAGAACACATGCCTATCTTTTTGTGTTATTTTCAAGTCTTTTATTGTTTTTATTAATAGATCAATGTCATTTCCTACATCCTCTGATATCCATTTGTTCAAGCAACTGAACTCATGGAGACAGAGCAGAAGGATGGTTACCAGAGGCTAGGAAGGATAGTGGGTGGGTGTGGAGGGGAGGTGGGGATGGTTAATGGGTACAAAAAAATAGAAAGAATGAATAAGACTTAGCATTTGATAGCACAACTGAAACTAGATTTGCAAAAATCATAACTGAGAAAATTATGACAGTGAAAGAGGTCTGACCTAACTGAATCCATCTTGCTTTTAACCTCGAAACTGTCCTTGTTCATTCCTGGGTGTGGGCTGAACTAACTTTGGAAGGAACATAGTTTATAGTTTAACTTTAAAACAAAGACGGTAACAGCTGTTTCCAAAACAAACCACTTTCTTGCCTGCGGACCAGACTCCCTTTGTAGAGCTAACAAATTAGCCACCAGATTAGAAATTATGGTTTAGGAGTCATGCAGCTAGAGGCCACAGGATTTGAAACCACCCCAGTTGCTCCCAGGGAAGACATCACTGTTGTAAAACCTAAAATTGGTGCATGAGATATTTTACAGATTCTGCATTCGATGAATCAGGAGGTGCCACTCTCATCTGGTCTTGTGGCCCCCACCCAGGAACTGACTCAGCACAAGAGGACAGCTTCGACTTCCCATGATTTTATCTCTCACCCAGCCAATCAACACTCCCCACTCCCTAATCCCCTACCCACCAAATTATCCTAAACACACACACACACACACACACACACACACACACACACACACACACACACACACCACAAACAAACAAACAAAAACAGTCTCTGAATTATCAGGGAGACTGATGTAACAATAAAACTCCATTCTCCCATTCAGCCGGCTCTGCATGAATTAAACTCTTTCTCTGTTGCAGTTCTCCTGTCTTGATAAATCATTTCTGAGTAGTGGACTAGGAGAACCTGTTGGGTGGTTACACAACAGGGTGTCTATAGTTAATAATGATTTAATTGTGCATTTTCCTTTGATTTTAGACAAGCCATTAATCCAATTGGATTTTTTTTATATTCAAGCCATCCTTCAGTCAATTCACTCTAGCATAACACATATCACCATTCTACATAAGCTGTTCTGTACAAAGTCATCAACATCCTCCTTGTTGCCAAAATCTAATGGATTTTTCTCTGTTTTTACGATATTCCACTGCTCAGCTACCTTTGCCAAAATTCACCCTCTATTTTTTGAATAATCTTTTTTGGCATTTTTGCCACCACATTTACTTGTAAATCACTGGTCATGATGTTCTATGTATTTTTGGCTTCTTCTATCCAAACACTAAGTATTAAAATAGTTCCACAGGTATTCTCTCATCCCTCCTCTTTATGTTCTCTCTCAGCCTAGGTGATCACACTTAATATCCATGTTTCAAATACCATCTACATTCTTATGACTTGAGAATTTTTTGTATCCCCTATATACCACACTCTTGAGTTTCAGACTTATACATCAAATGGCCTACTGAATGTTTCAGTGTGGAAGCTTACTATACATCTCAAAGAATATCAAAAGCAGAGCTTTCAACACACACTCTCCCCCCAATTTTTTCTTATTTTCCACAAGCATAATCAACTTTACCAAAATATAACCCAACGCATGAAACAAAACAAAAACACTAGGTATTAGTCTTCATTCATCCTCTTCCCTTACTCTTTACATCTCATATTCAATTCCTCAGCAAGTCCCATGAGTTTTAACTCCAAAATATATTTAAAATCCATTCACTTTTCTCCATCTCCACTGCAAACTTACATGTTCTGGAAACCATTATCTAACAGAGTATTAAAATGACATCCAAGGTTCTACACTTGCTCTTATCTGATTAATTCTTCACGGAGCAAACACAGTAATGTCTTGAAACAAATATCTGTTATGACATTCTTTTAATAAAACATTTGGTAGTTTCTCATTTAATTCAAAAGGAAATACAATATATTTCATAATTTATCTGTATTCGCTGGTTCAGCCTCCATCTCCAAACACATCTTCCACTATTCTCCTATGGCTCAGTAGGCTTGAAGTACATCACTCAAGTTTATTCTTTCAACACGGCAAGCCCATTTCCATTTCCAGCTTTTTATACTTACTATTCCCTCTGCTTGAATTACTATTTGCCTACACTGCGCGTAGATTGCTCATATTCTTCTTAAAATATCAGATCACAACGACCTCTTCAGCTAAGTCTATCCTGACCACCTTCTTTAAATTTCTCTGCACATAAATGTACTCTCCATTAAAGCATAAGGTGTACTTCCTTCTTTTCACTTACTAGCATATACAATTACTTGTTTATTTAATTTGTCTGCTTCAGTAGACATTAAAACATTTTTGTCAAACATAACTTCTACCTTGCCAACCTCTATGATCTGAGCTTAGTCAGCCTGGTAGTAAGATCTAAAATGAACTCAAAATTAAGGGAAATAGAGGCAACCATTTTCTTTAATACTTTTTGGAATCCTTGAAGCAAAGGCTGTGTTTGAGAGTGTTTGTGGACTTGATGCTACTATCTATTCTTTTTTCCTGTATATTGATGAGATCCTTGAGGATGTCGGGCTGCTCTTTACCATGAGGATTTATGTGAAAAGATTATGGAATTTTGCACAGAAAGTATGTCCGAAAGAGAGATATTGTAGTTTATTTGCAAACTGAAGTTTGTGTGTTAAAGCGGAGTGCCACTGAATAGTTCAAAGGACATTGTCAAGGCGAACTGTTTCCAGTTTTAACTGTTAATAGATCACATCAATACCATGCAATATTGCTATGAATCAGATTCTACTTTATCTGGAGAAAAAATATAAGAGAGCTCAATGATAAACCCACAGTAGTCGGAAGGAGTCAGAGAAGACCTTCTTAATAGAAACATTCAGCACTTCTGTCAATATTGAGTTAACCATTTTGAGTCTACTAGACTTTAGTGTGAATCAAGATAATGCTGCACTAGGTACTACTGTACTTATTGAATGGGCTAGACAAATTTTTCATTTTCTTATAACCTAAAACATTTACATCATGGTTCTGAGGACCAGGCATTAAAACTGGATTTTCAGGATTGGGTAAGACATTGTGATTAATGTGGTCCAAGATGGCAGAAAACATTCAGTGTATTTTCTCAGTTCGTGGGAAAAACTGAGGGACTATTGTAATAAATGACAATTTTCTATGCATTAGAAAATCTTGAATTATTAATTGTACTCCCAAAGCTGGATCCTAAACAGAAAGTCTCCAATAGACCTTTATTGATTATGTTGGTCAATATGCAGATGAAAAGATGTAATGGGAACAGTGTGAGGCATTTGTAGTTTATGCATACAGTGCAACAAAAAAAAATGGTGCTACTAATTGATCATCATGTGCATTGCTATTTGGGCAGAGTTCCAGATGTTTATTCAATCTCTGATACAAAGTAAATGATGGGGTGGAGATGTCTCCTGTCCAACCCAAGTACAGATAATCATATTAGCTCAGAGGTTAATGGTTTGATAACACTATAGCATTCATTCATATACAGTCCTGATCTTAAACTGTATCTTTTGAGCCACTGAACATGTTCAGGAGGCCTCCTTGGAAAATAATGTTGCTACAAAGGAAGAGAAAAGTATTTCAGGAGAGTGGGAAAGTCCTATATAATTATGAAAAATACATTCTTGTGATACTTTGTGTCAAATAATATGAGCTGAATGAAGCTGGATAAATAGATGCTATGTGCTGCCTAATACATGGGGGTTAGCTCAAGCTTAGAGTAATGAATCTGTTAGAATAAAGAGTCAACATTCTCAAACATTGTTTCATATGTCGTTTTGACTTTTTGGAACTGAGGTAAAGACCAACTATTTAGTTCAGTCCCAAATGCCCAGGTCTAATCTGCCAAGGCTCATGACTACCATCCAAGTAGAATTACATAATTTCAAAGGCTGAACTACATATCTTGAAATACAAGTATTATAATTATAGGAGAAATATTGTTATGTTTGATAATTATTATTTTTCTTGGTAATGCTTTGTTTTCATTGTTACATTTACCTTCATATGAAACATATTGACACCTTTAAGGAGCATTAAATGGCAAAGCCAGAAAAAAATGAACTGAAACACTTCATTATTTTCTTTATGGGTATGACAGAGACTGTAAATGTTAATCAGTACCTGGTTTTCTTGGTCTCCCTGGGCATACAGCTAAGCTATAATTACCAGCTTCTTGCAACTAGGTAGGCCCATGGGTTTAACTATTACCAAAAAAGAAAAAAAGAAATGCCATGTGTCATTCCCAGACCAAGACAGTTAAGAGAAGCTATGTGTATTCCCCAAGATAAACTTTTTTTTTTCAATTATAAATTAAGGGGTTACAAATGCCGTTTTGATACGTGGATATATTGTATAGTGGTGAAGTCTAGGCATTTAGTTTAACCATCATTGAAATAGTATACATTGCCCCCATTAAATAATTTATCATCCCTTACACTGCTCTCACCCTTCTGTGTCTCCCAGATGGACTTTCAATACTGGATAACCGGGCCAGTTGATCATAAACAAACACATTGGGCTGTTGTTTCAAAGAACAATTAATTATTATTTTGCTAAGTTATTGACTTTCTTTTTTATAGCAGTTAGACTACCTTGAATATGCAGTGAAGACACAGTATTTGTTCTATTTATTATCACGAAAGGACTGGTTAAAGACAAAAGGTAAATACTACGTTCACTATTTAAATAGAAATTATTTTGTCTTGAAAACTTTTAGATAGATGTCATTATATTAAGATTCTATATTATTAATTTGTTGATATCCCCTTATATATTTATCTTGTTTCCTGATATTAAGATGTGAAAAGACCTTTAAAAATTTAGGTGTGTACGTGTGTACATGCATGAGCACTGGTTTGTGCATTTACCTCAATGACTCATATTTTTATTTTTCCCATTTAATATTTTCAGTTTAAAATATAAGGAAAATTGTAATCGTGTTCACCTGATTCACTGCCACTACCAAGCAACTAACATTAATTTAAAAAACCCTTTTAACAATTTACTAGAGTGTGATGATCCCTCCAAGTTACTTTTGTCATCTACAGAAGTATTTGATAAGAGGATTTTCTGAAATACTATTCCAAATTTTCTTTCTGGGAATTTCACAGGCCAAAATCATGTTTACATTCTAGGGTTTCATTTTCAGTAGATAACTGTTGGTATAAAACATACTATATACCAATACAATATAAAGAGTAAATAAATACTTTTAAAAATGTGCTTATTTGTACAACATATTTTCATCAGGCCATTTTCTTCATTCAATGGATACTATCTCTCTCAAGCCTTCAGGGTCAGATATGGGACAAGCCCACTTCATAGCCCATATCCCCTATGTAAAATTGAAAGAAGAGTAAAAAGAGGGAGGAACATCTAAATGGTATTTATAAATATTAATGTCAATAACACTAATCCTCCCTGTTAATCTGGGGACTGAAGTGGGAGAAACTGTTTCCATACAAACATCTTTTGGACAGCATATTTGTAACTTCTCCCTTGCTAAATGAATCAAGTCAAAATAGCATAAGTGGTCACTTCCTTTCATAAGAGTTCGTACTAGGAACATGAAATGAAAGAAGAAAATAAATTGTGTTAAAATATCAAATTATTTATACTTTGGAATTCTTAGGAACAAATATAATTAACTAAATATTATATTTAAATATTAAAAATGTTTAAAATAGATTTATAAAACTAATCTGGTTCAAATAACTTAGTAGATTATTAGTGGAGTAAGACTGAAGATGGAAATGTGTTCTCAATATTTCCTTAACAAAAAGTGCTATAGTAATCCCCATCTTGAAAAATGAGATTAAAATATTTAAAATATATATATATTATATTGTTGTTGTTATACATATTATATATATGTATTATTATTATTATTCCCAGTTTACAAAAGAGGAAATGTAGACTTATAGAAGTGAGATAACTTGCCCAAGTCAACATTTCTTACAAATGTAGAAAGTGGGTTTCCTATTTGTCTTACTCCAGAGGCCACTATAATTACACCTGGAGTTACAAACCAGTGCTCCATGGATTCAGACTATAGAAGTGTGTGTGTGTGTGTGTGTGTGTGTGTGTGTGTGTGTGTGTGTGTTTGACAGAGAGAGAAAAAAAAAGCCAGACACACTGTCTTTTCACAGTCTCCATCACCTACTTTTGTGATACATTCATTTTGCCTTTGCCTGCTTCATCCCTGACGGCATTTGAGTTTGTGGGCCCTTAACTATAGTTTTAAGAAGTTAGTACAGAAGTAAAGAGCAGGAAGAGTGGGGAGAAATATACAGAGAGAAAAACACAGGAAATGTTTAATATTCAATCACTGGTGACAGTGGTAATATTCTTGAAAAGTAGCATAGATTACAATGCAATGCTCAAAGAGGTTTAAGGTCTCAAAACATAGTTTAGGAGACTCTCGATGATATTACATTAAATATATTGCTGTAATAAAAATCTTTGTAAATAAAATTTCTTTGAGGCTTTCACTTCAAAAACAATTCTATTTTATTGGCCTTAACCCACAGCCCCCTTTTTCCTCCTGATTGACCTTATGTACTCAGGATCCCTGTGACTTTGTACTGCTGTGTTGAATACAGTTCCTTTTGAAGATTTTGCCATCCAAACTATATTTCTTGTTTAAGTTTCTAATAATTTGTTGTTGTTTTTCCTCAATATTATTTTATGTTATACTTTCCATCTCCCTGGTTTTGTTTTTGAAAGTCTCAGCAAAATACTTACATTACCTTCACTCCAGGCCTTTTCAGAAATTGTTGAGGTGCTAAAGAACACATTTTTCAAATCTCCTTAGCTTTTGCTAACTGCATAAATTTTCTTCAATTTTCATTCCATAGTCTGTGTAACCCAAAACTCTCCCAAAGATTTTAAAATCCCCTGGAACCTTACATTTTCATGTTGATTACTGGTTTCTAACTTTGTCTTCTCAGTTTCTGGTTTCTCTTACCAGCCCGACCCTGTTTATTTATATTTTTATTTTATGTCCGCCCCCTCCATGATTGACCATCAGGAAAGATTTTGTGAGGATTGGAGGTTGGTGGTTGGTTATGAGGATACAATTTAAATGGGAAACTAACATCATAGAATCTAAAAATAACTGAATGTTGAAGATCTGTTTTTATTAAATGTAATGTAGCTATACCACCTCTGAAGTAATATTGCTGGCTACCTATGCCCCTTAGCTTCACACTGGGCTCCCAAGTTTTCAGGTTGTTATCCAACACTGGTTACTTTCAAAGCAAATTTTGGTGGCAATTGAAAGTCTTTGGCTTCAAAATAAAGATTGAGTTGCTCAATTTAGAGCCCCAGGGATGACTGAGGAAACAAAAAGGACTACATTCCTAACAATTGTAGGATCCTCAGGGGGGGATTCTTAAATATTTCATGGAGTTAGAAGGAAAGTAGAAGAGAGGAGGAAGCAGGAAATCCTCCTAACCTGGGCTTTAATGGGCTTCAGTATTGTAAGTGTGAAGGTGGGGGAGGATGTTATTCACACTCTAACTTTAAACTTGGAGCATTAAAATAGCAAGCACAAATAAAATGATATACAATCTAACAGAATTCATTGACATTTACACTTAAAATTAAGTAAATTAGTTCATGTAAATGACACATTGGTAATAATGATATTAAATGGTATGTAAATAAAAAATCATATTACCTCAAAACCAAGATTGGAAAGGAATGAATACACTCAAACTCAACTTGAATTATTTTATCAGTGGGAATAATAAGTGGTAAATTAAAAATTCTAAGAGAACTCATGGTAATGTAATGTAGAACAAGGAAAACAAACAAATCCTCTTTGTCTATAAAATATACAGGCAAATTGGCTTCTACAATTGGCAATTAATAAACTTTTTGCTTTGGTAAAAGCAATATCTGATTATCATAGAGAAATCCAAAGTTATAATCAAAAGTTAAAAATCACTCATAACCCATGATTTCTCAGTTAATTATTGTTAATACTTTTAACAATTTCTTCTCAGTCATTTCTCTTAGAGATTTTATTAACTTTATTATGTATTTTATCTAATATTATATTGCAATCATGCTAAAGAATAGAAACATTTTAAATTGGATTTAAATGTAATGTTATTGGCCAGGCACTGTGGCTCATGCCTTTAATCCCAGCACTTTGGGAAGCCAAGTCGGGTGAATCACTTGAGGCCAGGAGTTAGAGACCAGCCTGGGCAACATGGTGAAACCCCATCTCTACTAAAAATTACAAAAATTAAGTTGGGTGTGGTGGTACACGCCTGTAATCTTAGCTACTCTGGAGGCTGAGGCAGGCGAATCACCTGAAGCCAGGAGGTGGAGGTTGCAGTGAGTGGAGATCACACCACTGCACTCCAGCCTGGGTGACAGAGCGAGACTCCATCTCAAAAAAAAAAAGTAATTTTATTCCCATTTTGTGGATAAAATGTATCGACCTTTTCTTTATTTTGGCCACTGTGTCTGTATCTTAAAAAATTAATACAAGTTAAGCTATAATCAATATAACTGATAAATTTTTCCTAAAATCTGTTAATTTCTGTAAGTATAGACATTACTTAACACTGACATTACTTAACATATAGACATTAAGTTGTCTATACTTAAACAAATGAACAGATTTCAGGTAAAGTTTATCACAGTATCAATGGCTATAATTTTTTTAAAGTATAGGCTAACGATTTCTAGAATAGCGACCCTTTTTATACTCCCTGCTTGAGTGTATACAACTGTCTAAACTCTAAACAATCATAGTTTCAACAGTAATGACTTTTAGACATTTTTAAATATGGTAATTTGATAGCTAGGAGTGATCAAAGTTGTTTTTTCTTTTTTCATTTACAGTTCTTTAACTAGTTAGCAGTTTAAAACCCATTCATGGTAATGATAAGTAGAACCTTAGAATCTTAATGATAATTTTGTCCAGTCTCTAATATAAACATATCGTAATATGTTTCAATTCAAATTTGAAAATGCCTAATGATATTCATCTCATTACTTCCTATCATATGAGGATTACATGAAAGAATTAGATCTGGAGGTACACCCAATTAGTAAACCTCCACCATTAAGGAAAACATACCTTAGCAAAAGTGGAAACTTCCAAATTTTAAGACCAATATCAATGATTCCGGATACCTGCATGCAATGCCTATGTCCTTCCATGTGTAGATTCCATGTGACCTAAAAGTAGTCAAATAATAATACTCATATATAGAGATGGCATGAAGTTGAAAAACAATTAAGAATTTGTTACCTGATTTTAAAAAGGACTGTTAAAAAGGAATTAAGAACTTCAGTGTTGAATGATTTCATATGGACAATTCAAATATCTTTACTGATATTCTGCAGAATTATAGCTCAAAAGTGTTGAAGGAGAATTTAATCTCTCAATATTATAGAACAAGTGCAGATGCACTGAGATCAGGCAGTTCTAGGTTTAAACCCTATCAACTGCTCATATGACTTCAATTTCTATGAATCTTGGTTTGTTTTTCTAAAAATAGAGATAATATTATTTTCTGGACTGATGGTAGGATTTAAACAGATAACATACACAAATACCACAGTGCCTGGCTTATAGTAATTGCTGAATAAATGTTAGTTCTCTTTGCTCTCATTCTTCTCCTGTTCAGAAACACCAATTTTGTTTTTCAGATATCTTGTGAATAACTTTCCATCTTGTTGCCCTCCATACATACTCAATTGTATTCCCTGACAGTTCTTAACAAAGGGCTGGGTTGTCTCCTGAATCTCCCCAAGTGACCTCTTTTGTTATTTCTCCTGCTTAGAGTGATGGCCTGCCAATTTAGATTTCTCAACAAGTGTTCCCTACTAACTGTACCTCAAATTAATTGCATATGTATTTTAAGTTTGTTTGACACCTGTCTCTATCATTTTTAATCATCGTGAAATGTTGTCTTTTAACTCAAGGTCTATTTTCCTTAAATTCCAGCTCTTTGAGCACAAGGAGTCAACAAGCATTTCTACTGAGAACATTTTCTTTGTCATTCAATGAGTTCGGTGATTTTGGGGACAGATAGAAAGGCAAATGAATACAACTACCAACAAAATGAGGAGGTCAGATACAAAATTCATATAATATAAACAGTATAAGTGAGTTAAAAGGTAACAGGAAAATTCAAATAAAAAATTATGCTCATACTGGTTGTTTTCACTTGGCACAAACCTACAAATAGGTTTAAGTTGGAAAAAGCTCATTCTCAGTTAGAAAAAGTTCTCAATCGAGTAAAGCACACACAATGGCTAACTGGCATTTTTTTTTTTCTTTATTGAGCTCAACCTTTATATGTATGTGTATATATATATGTATATATATATACACACATATGCATATATGTAAATATGTGTGTGTGTGTGTATATATATATATGTGTGTGTGTGTGTAGTCTACAAAGAAATAGATTGTTTAGACTTCCCGTGAATCATACTACTTTGCACACTGAGTCATTGTGGCAGAAACAGACAAAGAAAATGGTAGCTTGTTTTTTTTTTTTTTTTTTTTTTTTGAGACAGTCTTGCTCTGTCACCCAGGCTGGAGTGCAGTGGCACGATCTCGGCTAACTGCTGCCTCTGCCTCCTGGGTTCCAGCGATTCTCCTGCCTCAGCCTCCCAGGTAGCTAGGATTACAGGCATGCATCACTATGCCCGGCTAATTTTTGTATTTTTAGTAGAGACGGGGTTTCGCCATGTTGGCCAGGCTGGTCTTGAACTCCTGACCTCAGGTGATCTGCCCACCTTGGCCTCCCAAAGTGCTAGGATTACAGGCGTGAACCACTATGCCCGGCTGGTAGGTTGTGATTTTTTAAGGGTAAAAAGTAAATCTTTTCTTCATGATGAATGTATATTATAGTTAGTTTATGATGCTCAAAGTCTTGAGAGAACAAAGTGTGGGCAGTGGGAATTTCAGAACCACTTGATAATCAATGTTGCAGATGCCCTGTTTCTTATGAAAAAGTAACTGGCATTATCACTGTAATTTGGGTAAAGTTTGTAAAGGGAAAGCTTGAGTATAAAAATAAATATGGACTGGGCACGGTGGCTCATGCCTGTAATCCCAGCACTTTGGGAGGCCGAGGCGGGCAGATCATGAGGTCAGGAGATCGAGACCATCCTGGCCAACATGGTGAAATCCCGTCTCTACTAAAAATACAAAAATTAGCTGGGCATGGTGGCCCGTGCCTGTAATCCCAGCTACTTGGGAAGCTGAGGCAGGAGGATCACTTGAACCCGGGAGGCAGAGGTTGCAGCGAGCCGAGATCACGCCACTGCACTCCAGCCTGGCGATGTAACAAGACTCCGTCTAAAAATAAATAAATAAATCTGAAGGATTGGTATTTTGTCTTGCACATAGACCCTCTAGTTAAAGTGACACAGAAACAAGAGGAGTTCATTTTGTGTATATAATTTTTGGAATTGCAAAGTTGCCCCAATAAATAAGACTAAGACATGGAACATCCTTCAAATCTCAGATGACTTAGAATGCAAGCTAAAATCAATTTCATGTGTTTAAACTAGAAATTATTTCATAAAAATAAATATCATTCCAGAATGTTCTAAGAATCTTTAGTTTAAACTCACAAGTCCTATCTTGTTTTAAAATAAACCCACTCCAATAAAAATATGCAGACAAAATTTGTAAGAAGAGTGTATTCATTTTCTATTGCTGCCACAAACTTAGAGACTGAAAACAGCACAAATGTATCTTTCAGCTCTGTAGGTTGAAAGTCTGACATTGGTTGCACTATGCTAAACTCTAGGTGTCATCAGGGCTGCATTTCTTCCTGGTGTCGCTAAGGGAGAATCTATTTTCTTGTTCATTCAGGTTGTTGGCAGAATTCAGTTCCAGGCAGTTTTAGAAGAGAGGTCTCCTTTCCCTTGGTGGTTTTCAGCTGAGGGTCATTCTTAGCTTCTAGAGGCTGTCCACATTCCTTGGCACATAGCCCATACCATGGTCTGAATGTTTATGTCTCCCCAAAATTTACATATTGAAATCCTAACCTTCAAGGTGATGGTGTTAGGAGGTAGGGCCCTTGTGAGGTAACTGATTAGATCACAAGGGCAGAGGCATCATGAATGAGATTAGTGCCCTTATAAAAGAGCCCCAAAGAAGCTCCTTGCCCCTTCTGACATGTGAGGACACTTCAACAAAGTGCCATCTATGAGCCAGACAGTGAGTCCAGACACTGAATTTGCTAGGACTTTGATCTTGGACTTCCTAGCCTCCACAACTGTGATAAATTTCTATTGTTTATAATAATTCAGTTTATGGTATTTTGTTATAGCAGCCTGAACAGACTAAGACTGCCTCCTTTCTTCATCTTCAAAGACAGAAACAGTAAGTGGAGTCTTCCACACGTTTCAAATCACCTCTACCTCTTCTTCCATCACCCAGTCTCTCCGACCCACATCAACAATTCTACCCTCCTCTTCCACTATTAAGAACTCATGTGATTTTATTGGGCCCATTTGAATAATTAAGAATAACTTCCCATCTCAAATTCCTTAACTTTAATTATGTCTTCAAAGTTTCTTTTTGCCAATTAAGACAACATATTTACAGGTTTTCTTGATTTGGGCATAGACTTTTTTTAAGGGGGAGGGTTATTCTTCCTGCCTACCACAGGGAGATAAAAAGATGGCTGATGTTCTCCTTCTGGTTTTCCTAAAATGCTAGGTGGTTAATTCAGAAGCTGTATTGTTCACATGATTGGGGGGATAAGTAACTGTTTAAAAATGACCTAAATGTCTTGTTCACAGTGGTTGACATGCTGTAAACTTTTTATATTATATCAGCTTTTCTAGTGTTTATATTCTCAAAACCATAGTTGAATTAATATTTGTGTATGGCAGGTGAAGGCAGTAGATGGCTCTGCCTTTCCTAAAACTCTCAAGATTTTGCTTTACTTTTTGTGAAATTATCTATATACAGCAAAATGAAAAACAAATGCTTTAGTAGATATAAATGATCTATGAGTGTGTTTGTGTATGTATGTGCACAGAATGGGTATGGAGGCCAACATAATTTGGTAATTTTAGGTTCAGACATAATATTAATTGGGTTAAGAATCTAAGTTTGTTTTAAAATGTTAAAAATAACTCCATTTCTGAACACATGGCAATAGCTGACAAGCAAATTACATATCTGACTACATTTGCCTGCAAGATAAAGCTTGACTTATAGAGAGGACTGAGTAAGATTTTGTCTACATTTAAATTAGCAATGAGTATATATATTGAAATAGAACTAGACAACAGCTTATTTGTTTTTCAAATCTGTCTACTAGAATTGGTTGCTAAATAGTAATACATTATCCGTTGTTAAGCCTGTCAAGAAAATTAGTTATTATATGTGTGTTGATAGGCATTCATTGGAGAAAATTTGTGTTTCCTCTTATACAGTGTTTATTAAAATATAAAAAATATTAGACAGTTGTGGCTAGTCATGTCAAGAAAATCTGTAGCTGAAAAGAAAGTAATTGCACTAGTTTAAAAAATTTTTTTCCAGTGCTTAAATCTTAACAGGAATTTTGCAAAATGACATCTGAAATGAATCTTATTTCAACATATAATGGTTTAGTAAAAATGGGATAGAATGTTACTCTTGAAGTACTGGTGAGTAAAAGTAGACTGCAATTATACTATGTTCCCCTATGCCCTTCCCCAAATCTAAATTTCATGGGTACTTTCCCTGAATCATCAAAAAAAAAAAAAAAAAGTGACAGGAATCCTCCAAATGTATTTTTTTCTTGAATACGAGTAGTATACTATTTAGATTTCTAGACAATTACATGTTAATGTTAGTTAGTCAAGTGGCTCATTTTGGACCATTTGCTTAGTGACAGAAAACCACTGACAGAAAAAATTAATCTTGCTATATAGGTTAGCTTCAAATACAATTGGTCTTCAGACTGATAGACTAACTTTAGCATCTTTTGTAGAATGATAAAAAAAGAGAAAAGAAAAATATCAAAAATACTGACCTTTAATTTTCTTCTTGTCAAATAAAGAAAAATAGAGAAGAAAATGTTGTACCTAATGTACAATGCATATTAGAAATTATTATATAAAAATTACATCAGAATTATTTCCTTTCATAGAGTCTCTAAACTAGTACATTTTCATGGCTTCTCTGAAAATTCCAGTTCAAGAAGCTCCTTATAATTGGAATACAAATAGAAAAGCTATTGATAGCTCATGCTTAGAGACATATTACCTGGAGAAACATTCTGTGTGCCTTAGCTGAGGCTGTACCACTGGTTTGAGATCTTTGAATTCCTTTCTACTTTTTAAAAATACTGAACTCAAAGAACATTTAAATTTAATACAAACCATAGTATAAATAGTAAAATATGTGGCTCATGTACCTACTATAGTACTCAGGACTATTAGTATTTAGTTTTAGTTAACTGTGACATAACATAGAGGAGTGTGATTTTTTTTTCATTCAGGTAATGAAATATTTCTTCAGTTTTACTTTGCCTTTAATCAGCATTGGTATCTGTCAAAGTATAATTACTGGTGACATGTAATGGGAAATGTATTGGTAAAACAGATTTCAAATGAGACAATAAGAGATATTAAGAGAGCGATGTCAGAAAGATGGCTGACTAGAGGTGCTCGGTGCTTGGTGCTTGTCACCCACCACACAAAAGGACAAAAACGACAAATAAACAACTATAGTTTGACAAGAGTATTTGAATGAGAATGCTAAAGTACAGCAGGAGACTGGCAGAAATTCTGTGGAACACAGACACTCAAGATTGCCACATAAAGAAAGGAGTGAGACATCTTGACATTGCCATGCCACCTCTCCAGTTAGGATCAGCTCAGAACCAGGAGGGACTTTCCCATGTCGGGAGAAAGTAAACAGAAGGCCCTCAGCACTCCTCATCAATGCTGTAGACACCTGTAGGTTTTGCTGCTGGAGAATCTTGCAGTTTTCTCAGGCTCTCCATCCAGTTTTGGGAGCTTTCAGGAGTTCACACAGCTGGATTGCTCCAGAAAAGGAGCTAACATCATGCCCTTTTCCCCACATTACCCAAACCCCTACTGCAAGATGCCATCCCTAAACCAGAGTCAGTAATAAAATATGTCCTTTCCGGGGACCAGTAGCTACTGCATCTTTCCATCTTTGAGGCTCCACCTCCATTACGCCATGCTTGCACACAATAGCGCAGCATTACCCAGCTGAGCTGTTACAGCTTTCTACTCCTAGGAAAAAGCTGCCTAGGAGGTACAGTACCTTCCTTACTTCAGGGGCTATAGCACCCCAACCCAACCTACTTGAAATCTATATCCAGTGGAACAACCATGACCCCATCACTCCACCCTCAGGGGAGCAGCGACTGAGCTGAGCTGCTTGCCAGCCATCCTTGCACTTCCTTTAAGCATGGATCAGCTTGGAACTTTGCCTTCAGGAAAGCAGATCTCAATCCAAGCTGCCAGTCAACCAGTTTCATGTTTTTCCAGAATATGGACCAGCTTCGTACCCTACCTTAAGGGGAACAACTCCTGAGCAGAGCCATCAGATATCCAGCCCCATGCTACCCCACAGCATGGACCAGCCCACTGTCCAGCCCCTAGTGAAGCAAAGCCCAAGTCACAAGTTGACCAGCCCTAAATATCCCCAAAACACAGACTATACCAGTGCCCCACTATCAAGGAGCAGTAACTGAGTAGGTAGACCAGCCACAAACACTGTTACAGCATGAACCACTGAGGCACACTGAGGCACACTCAGGCATCACTGATGTTGCCTATAGCTGAAGAAACTGGATGGAGACCACATTACGGCATTCACCCAGAAGCAAATCCAAAATACCCTGCTCAACCAACACCCTACAACACATGGGCAGGTGAGTCTTTCCCCATGAAAGACACTGTATGAGACTGGAAGTGGTTACTGTTCCATCAGATGCACAGATATCAACACAGTGATACAGGAAACATAAAAAAGAAAGCGAATAGGACACTACTAAAGAAACACAATACATTTCCTATAATTGACCCTCCAAAAATAAACATTTATGAGTTTCCTAAAAAGGAATTCAAAATAATGACCCAAGGAAATTTACGATAAAAGATAATACAGACAGACAAACTAAATTAGATGAACAGTTTGGGATCCAAAAGAGAAATTCAACAAAGAGACAGCTATGACCAAAAAAGAAACAAACAGGAATACTAGAGCTAAAGAATTCAATGAATGAACTAAAATATACAATTGAGACTTTCAAGAGCAGACTGTATCAAGCAAAATAATGAGTTTCTGAACTTGAAGACAAGTCTTTTCAAATAAGCCAGTCAGCAAGAAAGAAAAAAAAACAATCAAAAGGAGCAAATAAAGCCTACAGGATGTGTGGAACGTTATTAAGCAATCAAATATTTGCATCTTTGGAGTTTAAAGGGAGAAGAGATGAAGAAGTGCACAGAAAGACTATTTAACAAAACAATACCTAAAAACTACCCAAGATTTGGGAGAGATATGGACATCCAGATTCACGAAGCTCAAAAGATTTGAAATAAATTCAAGTCAAAGAAGCCCTCTCCAAGGCATATTATAATAACGTTGTCAAAAGTCAAAGAAAAAATTCTAAAAAACAGCAAGAGTAAAGTGTCAAGTCACATATAAGAAAATTCCCCTTAGACTATCAGCAGATTTCTCAGCAGAAACCTTGCAGGCCAGGAAAGAATGGGATGCTATATTAAAGGTACTGGGGAAAAAAAAATTGCCTGGCTAGCATGGTATGCCCAACAAAGCTTTCCTTCAGAAATGAAGGAAAAATAGTCATCACTACTAAATAAGCCTTACAAAAAATGCTAAATGGAATGTCAAAAGTGGGAGCAAAAAGACAATAATTACTATCACGCAAACATATGAAAGTATACACCTCACTTTTATGGGTAAATTCATTGTAAAATTCAGAATACTTCATTACTCGAATGCTGATATACAATCTTTCAGATGTCTAGTATGATAATTAAAAGTCAAAATGGTCAACAACCACTAAAGAAAATTAACGAATATGATACATCACATTACAATAATCAAAGACAAGAACCTTATGATTATTTCAATAGGCACAGAAAAAGCATTTGACTAAATTCCATATCCCTTCATGATAAAAACTCTCAACAAATTAGGTATAAAAGGAATGTATGTCAACACAATGAAGGTCATATACAACAACAGACAACCAACATTGCACTAAACAGGGAAAATTTGAAAGCTTTCTCTCTAAGATATGGAACAAGACAAAATGTCCGCTTTTATCACTATTATTCAGCATGCCTCTGGAAGTCCTAGCCAGTGCACTTAGGAATGAGAAATAAATAAAGACAATTCAAATTGGAAAGCAAGAAGTAGAATTGCCTTGTTTGCAGTTGGCATAATCTTATATATAGAAAATCCTAAAGACTGTACAGAAAACAACTGTTAGACTTAATAAACTCAGTAAGTTGCAGAATAGAAGATAAACATACAAAAATCAATAGCATTTCTATAAGCCAATAGCAAACTATCTGAAAAAAATCAAGAAAGGAATCCAATTTACAATAGCTACAAAAAATAAGATTCTTAGTAATAAATTTAACCAAGGAAGTGAAAGATCTTTACAATGAAAAGTATAAAGCATTGATGCCAGAAATGTAAGAGAACACAAATAAATAGAAAGATATTACATGTTCATGGAATAGAAGAACTAATATTGTTAAAATGTCCAAATACCCAAAGCAATATACAGATTTAATGCAATCCCTATGAAAATAACTATGACATTCCTCACAGAAATAAAAAAAAAAAATCCTGAAATGTGCGTGGAACCATAAAATACCCTGAATAGCCAAAGCAATCTTAAGCAAGAACAAAGCTTAGAGGTATCACACCATCTAGCTTCAAAATATACTACAAAGCTATAGTAACATAATAGTATGGCACTGCTTTAAAAACAGACATATAGATGAATGGAACGAAATGGAGAACACAGCAATAAATTAACATATTTATATCTAAATGATTCTTTAAAAAAGGCACCAAGAACTCACATTGGTGAAAGAAGGGTCTCTTCAATAAATGGTCCTGGTAAAGCTGAATATTCACATGCAGGAGAATGAAACTAGATCCTTATTTCTCACTGTATACAGAAATCAACTCAAGTGAGCTAAATGCTGAAATTTAAGGTCTAAAACTACAAAACTACTAGAAGACAACATAGAGGAAATGCTTCACAACATTGGTCTGGGAAGGATATTTTTTCAATAAGACCTCAATAACACCAGCAACAAAAGCAAAAACAGACAAATAGGATTACATCAAACTAAAAAGGTTCTGCACAGCATAGGAAGCAATCAACAAAGTGAAGAGATAATGTACAAAAATAAAGGACAGTATTTGCAAACTATGCATTTGACAATGGGTTAATATACAGAATATATAAGGAACACAAATAACTCAATAGCAATAAAACTCCCAAATAATTCAATTAAAAATATATAAAGGGGTGGACTGCTGAATGCTCAAAATTTATGGCTGGAGTAGTAAAAAGCTTATTGAAGAAAAAAAAAAGTTCACCTTGTAGGAATTTCAACTGAAGATTCCCAGCAGGGGAATCTCTCACAAGTTCACATTAATTAAAACACCCTATGAGAAAATATGCCAACTTAGTATATCTGCCAAAAGCCAAACTAGAAAACATATGCCCTTTCCCTTTTAATCCCTTCTATTTGTGAGCCTAAACCTAAAAGGTTCAGCAAATATATCCTGTGAGTTAAGGGAAAAGAAGTGCTCTGTGTAGCTTAAAAAAAGAAAGGAATGAACAAAAAGGATAAAGGGACATATATTGCAATGTGGCTTTTTTTTTTTTGAGACTGATACAAGCAGAAAAGGGGAAAAGTTTTAATTCTCAGTGAAGTTTGGGTTTTGACTATGAAGCTAGATCTATCAACAAATTTGGAAAGTTTTTGACTATGATTTTTTCAAATATTCTTTCTGCCCCTTTATATCTTCCTCTTTTACCCTTTTTTAGAATTTCATAATGCATATGTTGGTCCACTTGACAGTGTTCCACAGGTTCCTTAGCCTTTGTACACTTTTCTTCATTTCTTTTTTCATTTCACTCTACAGACTGCATAATTTCAATTAACCTATCTTCAAGTTTGCTGATTCTGTCTTATTTCTACTCACATCTACTTTTGAGTGCCTCTAGTGTTTTTTCATTGTAGCTATTGAGCTTTTCAGTTCTACAATTTGTTTGCTTATTTTTTAAAAATTTCTATCTTCTAATTGCTAATCTCATATTGTTCATACGTTATTCTCCGAAGTTTCATTACATGTTTGTCCATGTTTTCCTTTAAGACTTTGAATATATTTAAGACATTTTAAAAGTCTTTGTCTAATAAGTCCAATTTCTGTGCTTACTCAGAGATGGTTTCTGTTAATTCATTTTGTTTCTTTGTATGGGTCATGTTTTTCATTTTCTTTGTATGCTTTGTTATTTTCTTGTTGAAAATGGGCACTTAAGTATTATAATGTGATAACTGTGGAATCAAATTCCCCTCCTTTCCAGGGTTTATTGTTTTGATGTTATTATTGTTGAAGGCTATAATACTCAACTATTTCAGGGACCAGTGTATGCATCCATGTGTTCCTTGTCATAAGTCATCACCGAAGTCTCTGTTCAGCTAGAGTTTTGACAGAGATTTTCTTGAATATAAGTTTATAAAAATGACAACAAAATACACACACACACATACACACCCCACCACCACCACCAACAACAACAAACAATATTACCCTCCCAGTATTTGCAGATTGTCCCTGTGCTGGTGCTCTTCCTTAACACATATCCAGGATTGCAATGAGCCTAGGCCTCAGCCTGAGGTGAAAGTTTGGAGACTTTTCAGTTGTTTTCTGAACATGCCTTATGCTAAACATATACAGGGCTTTCTTTTTCTAATGATAACTTGACAAAAATCGCATATATTTATGGTGTACAATATGTTTTGTCATATGTATACATTGTGGAATGACTAAATGAAACTAATTAATATATCCACTACCTCACATACTTATCCTTCGTTTTTGTGGTGAGAACACCAAATATCTTAGCAATTTTCCAGCATACAGTATATTGTTATTAATTGTAGTCACCATGCTGTACCATGGGTCTCTTGAACTTCCTACTATCTAACTAAAATTTTGTATCCTTTGACCAATATCTCTCTCCAATCTCCCCAAGTCCCAGGTCTGGTAATCACCACTCTATTGTTTCCTTCTATGAATTCAACATTTTTAGATTCCATATATAAGATCATACAGTATTTGTTTTTCTGTGTCTGGCTTATATAACTTAGCATAATGTCTCCAGGTTAATATACGTTGTTGCAAATGACAGGATTTCCATCTTTTTTAAAGTAAATAGTATTACTTTATGTAAATACACCACATTTTCTTTATGCATTCATATATACACAGACACTTAGGTTGATTCTATATCTTGGCTATTATGAATAATGCTGCATTATACATAGGGTAGCGGGGATCTCTTTAAGATCCTGACTTCAAATCCTTTGGATATATACCCAGTAGTAGAATTACTGAATCACATTATTTGTATGATCCTTCCTACATTATTATATCTTATTCATTTTAACAGTGGAGATATCTTAAAAATATTATAACCAAACTAAATAATAAGAAAAATTGTAATTTCACCAATGAAAGTAATCATGCCAATTATAAAATTTTTAATTTAATTGATTAAAACTCCTTTTGACATTTAGGATGAAATTCAGCAAAATGCTTGGTACTGGTGGAGATACAGATAGCACAGGGGCTTGTGGTAGCCACCTCTGGAGTGTGAATTTTTTTATAAAACACCAGATAGACCATCCTGGACTGTGGATTTTCCATTAGAAGTGACCGTCCATAGAATTGAAGCTTGAAATAATTCGTAAATGCCTCATATGATACAGTCTATGATAAAGTAGTTTACAGAAAATTATATATAGACATTAGAATAGCATGGAAGGTATCATGTAGGAATAATGTGAAGTCAAAAATCACTGCATTACAGTAGAAAAAAGAGGGCTCTCACACCACTGCAAATAGAGTTACTTACCATCACCTCCTTGGCCAAGAAAAAAAACAAAAGGCAGAGATCAAGTTACTTTACTGTCTAGTCCATTATTAGGGGTAGATAAACTGCTTATAAAAATCCTTGGGTTCTGGTAAATTGTGTTGCTTAATTGAAAACATACAATGGAACTGGTTTTTGCTAGCTTTGAAAATGGAGAGTAGTTAACTTTTATTTATCCTTCAAATAATTATTCTGTGAAGTGCTCCACATAATAAAGTACAGATGATCTATTTTGGTCACCTAAGTTTTAATTGGTCAGAACCATTATCAGATTTATGCAGAATGAGATTTGAGAGGTTTTGCTTGTTTACTCTTTGAATAAATTCAAATAATGAAGCCCCATGATGAGTGAGTTGGAAGACTATAAGCATTGCTTTTTTTAATCTTCTTAACAAGAAGTGTACACCTTACGTGTTATTTTTGTAGCATACTTTAAATATTCAAATGGTATGCTACTTATAATGAAAATATTTGGTTTATTTTAGTTTTTCAGATTTCCTGGATATTTACAAGTTAAATAACTAAGTAAGTCTCCAAAAGAAGTGCACCACAACCATGCTCGAATACAACTCATATTTTTACTTAAAAATAGGAAGGAAATGTTCTTTTTCATTATTTATTAAATTGAAACATAATCTTCCACAGAACACAAAATAGTAAACCAGCTATTAAATGCTTCTATTTGCTTTCACACTTTTTCAAAAAATCCCATGTTATCCTGAATTTAATCATTGAGATATTGCTAATGAATAACTTTATTTCAAGAGCTTGAGGAGGTTAAATGTGCTTTACAAATTCAGATTCATTTTTGTTGTCTATTATTTTGAAAGGTGGAAAGTCAATCTATAGCGACTATGTAATAACTTTATACATGTACTAGGCAAAGCTGTTTGTGTTTTGTTTTCAAAACATCAAGTAAATTCACTTAATTTTTTTCTACTTTGTCAAATTCTGAGTTTGAGAATTCAGGGAACTGCAGTATAACAGGATAAAATAGGAGCAGAATAGAGATGTATTAAGAAACACCTCTTGGATATTTCACCTACTGATCATTTTCTTAGTTAAGTAAGAACGCTTTCTTCCCTATCTCTCAGGACCAATGATTGCCATTTTAAATAAATTTGTAAATATTCTGTTAACATGTTCACTTGTCTTGGAGGCAAACTGCATGGCTTCTCAAACTTCAGCCTTTGTTACTTAAGTCATTTTAGTGTCTGAACAGCTGGATGAGAACACAGAAACTGGCATGCAGCCACTTCCCTTTAAAGCCCCAGTGAAAACAATGCCACAGCATTGAGAAAAAAGCAGGAACTGCTGATTTGTTCTACTAAATGGACAGCTGCTATTGAAAATCTTCCAAGCTGTCTTTCTATTGTTCCCTTCCCTGCCAATTCACTGAACTCACCTATAAGTTATTGCCATTTTGGAAGTGTGCTTTTAGTCTGTATCTTAATTCATCACCTTCAAAAAATTCAAATTTACATAACTGCTGCAATTATAGAGCAAACGATTCTTGTATAATATTCACCTAGATTCTTCAAATGTTAATCTGTTACTACGTCTTCTCCTGTGTACTCTTACGTTGCAGACATGATGCCTTTTATTTCTAAATGTTGCAGTGCTTCCTTTTTTTAAAAAAAACCAAGGAAATTCTTTCACTTAGCCATAACAGGGGTGTCCAATCTTTTGGCTTCCCTGGGCCACACTGGAAGAAGAATTGTCTTGGGCCACATATAAAATACACTAACACTAATGATAGCTGACGAGTCTCAAAAAAAAAAAAAACTCATAAGGTTTTAAGAAAATTTAAAAATTTGTGTTGGGCCGCATTCAAAGTCATCCTGAGCTGCACGTGGCTGGAGGGTGGCAGGTTGGACAAGCTTGTCATAGGACATTATCAAAATCAGGAAATTAACTTTGATACACTATTATTATTTAGATCTAAAAACTTTTTCAGATTTCACCAATTAATTTCATGTCCATTATTGCAAAAGAATAACAACAACACGCCGGGCACGGTGGCTCATGCCTGTAATCCCAGCACTTTGGGAGGCCAAGGCAGGCAGATCACAAGGTCAGGAGATGGAGACCATCCTGGCTAACACAGTGAAACCTTGTCTCTACTAAAAATGCAGAAAATTAGCTGGGCGTGGTGGTGGGCGCCTGTAGTCCCAGCTACTCGGGAGGCTGAGGCAGGAGAATGGCGTGAACCCCGGAGGTGGAGCTCGCAGTGAGCCAAGATCGCGCCACTGCACTCCAGCCTGGGCGACAGAGCGAGACTCCATATCAAAAAAAAAAAAAAAAATAGAATAACAACAACAAAAAATCTTTTTGTTTTCCTTGTTTAGGATCCAAATCATATGCATTTAGGTATTGTATCTATTAAGTCTCCTTTAATCAGGAAGAGGTCTGTCTTTCATGACCTTGATAGTTTTGAAGAGTGCAGGCCAATGTCCTTCATGTTTTTTATTCCAATACTCTAGAGTAGATACATTACAAAATAACCAGGCATATAAAGTCTTATTTGTACTTTAACTATCAATTCTATTAAGTATCTGTGAACTTTCCTTTAAACCTTAGTTTATATAGGCAGCTTACTCAACTGTGTAGCAAAATTATATGTTGTAGGCATCAGGGGTAATAATTTAAATAAGACATCGTTACTGCCCTTGGGCATGGCTATATACAGAAATATATTTTTAACTGTGGTACATAACATCTCTTTTCCTCCCAAATTTTGAGCAGTAGATAAGTACAATTCTTTGTTTGCTTGCGGATTTTTTTGTTAGGTAGTTTATTTTGTACCTCAACCTAACCTCAATCTTCCACTCATAAAAACAGTAGAAATTCTCATAGTAAATACATTAGCTGAATGTTCTGATATGAGGGAAGAAAAGTTAAACTGTTAAATCACTATGCATATTTGCTCAACAAATTTTGCAGTCTAAGCTTTTCAGAGATAGGAGGTATTTTATTTTATATCCTTGACTTAGACACTGACTCGTATCTTTTCCCCTTTACTCCATGCTTAGTAGTTAAATACGTGGTAAAGGGAACAGATAGCTTACAAAGAAGATGTAATTTCATCTAAAGACAATCCATGTTAGCTACATTTGAAAGCTGTCACATGAACTTCAGAGAATATAATCTTATGTAAAATAAGCGTACATAATAGTTTATTTAAATATATATTTATAAAAAGATCATGCCGTTGACCTCTGCTTGCATATTCCATTAAACTGACACTAAAATCTGTAGATTTTGAAATTCAATGCCAATATTAGTTGTTTTAAATCATAGGTAACTTAAAATATATGAATTAAAATGAGGGATATTATATAAAACAGTAGCCACAGAGATGATTTTGTATATTCAAATATATTGATAGACTATATAGATTCAAAGATAGATAATTTCATAAAAAATAAATATGAATCACTTTAAAAAGTAGAAAAAGACATTTTGTAGCAAGGAGAAAAATAGTATCAGAGTGCTTATAGGAATATTATCCTGGTTTTCCTGTTTACTTATGAGATTCTTCTCTTCTCAATAGCTCATACAATTTAATACATGTGGGCAGCAAGACTAAGAATTCAGAATACACATAGACGATGCTCTCCATTCATTAAAACACTGATGATATTTTACAGCAATAATTTTCAAATCTATGACATAATACCAAACAGTAAAACATCCTTTAATTGCTATAGCAGTTTTAAATAATGATTGAAAAGAAATCTTAAATAGGATTAATGTAGTTAAACATTACTTTCTACTCTGAAAGAAACAGAAAAAAGTAAGAGCACCAACACCAGCCATCATGTATATTAATCGCCCAAAATTTCATACTTGGAAAATATTGACACATTTGTTGAGAATTTTTAACCACTCTCTAGGGGAATTTGAAAGTGTACTGTGGTTAACTTCTAGAAATTTCTTCTTATCTGTGACTCAAAATTGAAACTACAAGATTCTGGACAAGTTTCATTTTTTCATTTGCCCTGCTATATACCAAAAGAGTTATTCCAATATCAGGATCCATACGTACTTTCAATTCTGGAAAATTTTTATTTATGATTTTTTCAATTATTTTGGACCCATCAGTTTTCAACCCTTTCATTCAGAAATCTTAGTTAAAAAATTAAGGTGATCTATATATTTTTCCAGTCTTCTCTTTCATGGCTTCCCTTTTTTATATATATTTTAAAATCTGTTTCAGAATACTGCTACACCTGACCTTTCTGCCTACTAACTTATTTTTTGGCTGTGTTTATTCAGCAAAAAACTTGTGTTAATATTTTTACTGTATTTCAACACATTTTTTTTCAAAATACCACAATAGTTATTCTTCATAAATGTCTACTTATTGTTCCCTGGTTCATTTTTTTTTCGTAATTTCTAACTAATAACCAATACAATGAACTTGATCCCTTTGTTTATTGAGGGTATTAAATGTATTTAAGTCAGTATAGAGTACTCTAGTATTCCTAGTGTGCCAGTATGAGTGTTAACACTTACTGGAGTGTTTCTACCAATGGCATTGTGCTTCCTTGGGTAATCTATGTTTCTGGGTTAAGCACTCACTTTCAGAATGAGAATTTCTTATGCCTTTGTATGCATTCTGGATTATGACTGCTTCCAAGCCATGCTATTAGCATCAGCTGCAACTTTACAGAACCATATCAGTCCTGTGTATTGGGGGACATCAATCCTTGCTTATGTTGTGGCTTTACAAGTACTTTGGTTTATTATGTTGCTTTTGTTATTTTATTGTTTATATAGAAATGCCTTTCCATTTCTCCTTTTTTTTAGGAGGGGGGTGGTAAAACTATCTGTGTATGTGTGTATCTAATATATATTATACTGTATTTCTGATGTTAATGCAAGCACGTGAAATTCAATGTAATAACAGCAAATTGGAAGCTTGTCACAGTTGATATAACTATGTTGTCTTACGCTCATATTTCAGTCTGGAATTGTCATAACAACATGCTCCATGGCTTGTGTAATTTTTACAAAGTTATTACCAACAGCACTCATGTGTCAAATTTTCTTCCAAATATCCTCATGGCTGCTGTTGCTTTTTTTTCTTTTCTTTTCTTTTTCTTTCTTTTTTTTTTTTTTTGAGATGGGGGTCTTGCTTGATTGCTATGCAAAGGAAATATTATTAGAGCTAAAGAGAGAGAGATAGACCCTGACACAATAATAGTTGGAGACTTCAACATATCACTTTCAGCATTGGACAGATCTTCCAGACAGAAAATCAATAAAAAAAATCAGACTTCATCTGCGCTACAGACGAAATTAATCTAATTGATATTTACAGGATATTTCATCCAAGAGCTGCAGAATACAAAATCTTTTCCTAAGCACATGGATCATTCTCAAGGATCGACCATATGTTAGGTCACAAAACAAGTCTTAAAAACATTCAGAAACATTGAAATAATATTAAGCATCTTCTCTAACCACAATGGAAGAAAACTAGAAATTAAGAACAAGAGGAATTTTGGAAACTATACAAAAACACTGAAATTAAAAAATATGCTCTTGAATGACCAGTGGGTCAGTGAAGAAATTAATAAGGAAATTGCAAATTTTCTTGAAACAAATTATAACGGAAACACAACACTCCAAAACCTATGGGATACAGCAAAAGAAGTACTAAGAGGTAAGTTTATAGCTTTAAGTGTCTACATCAAAAAGGAGGAAAAAATACAAATAAACAGTCTAACTAAAAATCTTAAAGAATTAGAAAAGCAAGAGCAAACCAAACCCCAAATTAGTAAAAGAAAAATAAAATAATGAAGCTCAGAGCAGAAATAAATGAAAGTGAAATTTTAAAAAATACAAAATATCAATGAAAAAAATTGGTTTTCTGAAAAGCTAAACAAAATTGGTAAAACTTTAGCCAGACTAAGAAAAAACAAAGAAAATCCAAATAAAATCAGATATGAAAAAGGAGACATTACAACTGATACTGCAGAAATTCAGAGGATCATTAGTGGCCCCTATGAGCAAGTATATGCAAATAAATTGGAAAATATAGAATGGATTGACAAATTCCTAGATACATACAACCTACCAATATTTAATTAGGAAGAAATCCAAAACCTGAACAGACCAATAACAAGTAAGGAAATTGAAGCTGTAATACAAAGTTTCCCAGTAAAGAAAAGGTCAGGACCTGATGGCTTCAATGATTCATTCTACCAAACATTTAAAGAACTCCTAATATCAATTCTACTCAAATTATTCCAAAAAAACAGAGGAGGAGAAAAAAATTACAGGCCAATACTTTTCATGAATATTAATGCAAAATCCTCAACAAAATACTAGCAAACCAAATTCAAAACTATATTGGAAAGATCATTCATCATCACCAACTGGGATTTATCCCTGTGATGCAAGTATATGTCAACATATGCAAATCAAACAGTGTGATACATCATATTAACAGAATGAAAGATAAAAACCATATGATTATTTCAAGGGATGCTGAAAAAGCATTTGATAAAATCCAACATCCCTTCACGATAAAAACCCACAAAAAAATTGGGACTAGAAAGAACGAACACCCACATAATAAAATCCATATAAAACAGACTCACAGCTAGTGTCATACTCAATAGAGAAAAAATGAAAGCCTTTCTTCGTGATCTGGAACACAACAAGGATGCCCACTGTCACAGCTGTTATTCAACATACTACTGTAAATCCTAGCTAAAGCAATCAGACAAGAGAAATAAATAAGGGGCATTCAAATTATAAGGGAAGAATTGAAATTATCTCTATTTGCTAGTGATATGATCTTATATTTGGAAAAACCTAAAGGCTCCACAAGAAAATTATTAGATCTGACAAACTAATTCAGTAAAGTTGCAGGATACAAAACCAATATACAAAAATCAGTATCATTTATATATGCCAACACTGAACAATGTGAAAAAGAAATTTAAAAAGTAGTCCCATTTACAATAGCCACACATAAATATCTAGGAATTAGCCAAAGAAATGAAAGATTTCTATATTAAAACTATAAAACACTGATGTAGAAAATTGAAGAGGAAACCAAAAATATGGAAAGATATTTCATGTTCATGGATCGCAAGAGTGAATATAGTTAAAATGTCCATACTGTACAAGGTAATCCACAGATTCAATGCAATGTCTATCAATATACCAATGACATTCTTCACATAAATAAAGAAAAACAATCCTACAATTTATATGGAATCATAGAAGACCCAGAATAGCCAAAGTTATCCTAAGCAAAAAGAATAAAATTGAAGAAATCACATTACATGACTCCAAATTATATAACAGAGCTGTAGTAACCAAAATAGCATTGTACTGACATAAAAACATACACATAGACCCATGGAGCAGAATAGAGAACTCAGAAACAAATTCACCCACCTACAGGGAACTCTTTTTTTTTTTTTTTTTTTTTTTTTTTGGGGACAGAGCCTTGCTCTGTTGTCCAGGCTGGAATGCAGTGGCATGGTCTCGGCTCACTGTAACTTCTGCCTCCCGGGTTCAAGTGATTCTCCTGCCTCAGCCTCCCCAGTAGCTAGGATTACAGGCATCTGCCACCACGCCCGGCTAATTTTTTGTATTTTTATTAGAGACGAGGTTTCACCACGTTGGCCAGGCTGGTCTCGAACTCCCGACCTCGTGATCTGCCTGCCTCGGCCTCCCAAAGCGCTGGGATTACAGGCATGAGCCACCGCCCCTGGCTGAACTCATTTTTGACAAAGCTGCTAACAACATACACTAGGGAAAAGACAGTCTCTTCAATAAATGGTGCTAGGAAAACTGGATATCCATATGCAAAAGAGTGAAACTAGACCCCTACCTCTTGACATATACAAAAATGAAACCAAAATGGATTAAAGACTTAATTTTAAGACCTCAAACTATGAAACTATTACAAGAAAACTTTGGGTAAAATCTCCAGGACATTGGTCTAGGCAAAGACTTCTTGAGCAATACCCCATAAGCACAGGCAACCAAAGCAAACATGGACAAATGGGATCACATCAAGTTAAAAAGCTTCTTCACAGCAAAGGATACAATCAAAAAAGTGAAAAGACAATTCACAGAATGGGAGAAAATATTTTCAAACTACCTCTCTGCCAAAGGATTAATAGCCAATATATATAGGGAGCTCAAACAACTCTATAGGAAAAAAAATCTACTAATCTGATTAAAAATGGGCAAAAGATTTGAATAAACCTTTCTCAAAAGAAGACATACAAATGGCAAACAAGCATAGGAAAAGGTGCTCAGCATCACTGATCATTAGGGAAATGCAAATCAAAACTGCAATGAGATATCATCTCACCCTAGTTAAAATGGCTTCCAAAAGACAAGCAATAACAAATGCTGGTGAGAATGTGGAGAAAAGGGAACCCTGGTACACCGTTAGTGGGAATGTAAATTAGTACAATCACTATGGAGAACAGTTTGGAGGTTCCTCCAAAAACTAAAAATTGAGCTACCATAAAATCCAGCAATCCCACTGCTGGGTATATACCCCCGAAAAAGAAAATCAGTATATTGAAGAGATATCTGCACTCCTATGCTTGTTGCTGCACTATTTACAATAGCTAAAATTCCAAAGCAACCTAAGTGTCTATCAACAGATGAATGCATAAAGAAAAATGTGGAGTACTATTCAGTCATAAAAAGAATGAGATCCAGTCTTTTGCTACAATATGGATAGAACTGGAGATCATTACATTAAGTGAAATAAGTCAGGCATAGAAAAACAAACACCTCATGTTCTCACTTATTTGTGGGATCTAAATATCAAATCAATTGAACTCATGGACACAGAGAGTAGAAGGATGGTTACCAGAGGCTGGGAAGGGTAGTGGAGGCTGGGTGGGAGATGGGGGTAGGTTTGGTTCATGGATACAAAAACAAAAAAATAGAAAGAATGAATAAGGCCTACTATTTGACAGCACAATAGGGTAGCAATAAGTCAATAATAACTTAATTGTATAATTTTAAATAACAAAGAATGTAATTAGATTGCTTTTAACAGAAAGGAGAAATGCTTGAGGGGATGGATACCCCATTTTCCATGATGTGCATATTTCACATTGCATGCCTGTACCAAAACATGTCATGTACCTCATAAATATATACACCTACTATGTACCCACAAATATTTTTTGAATAATAATAAAAAGAAATACAAAGAATATAGCAATGGATAGGACAAGAGCTCATAGCATCTAAAAGACATGAGTTTGTATCATACATCTACTCATAACTTCTGTCTTGCTTTGAGTAATTAGTATCTCTATGCCTTATCTACCTCTAGGTGAGATAAAATCATATTACAAAAGTTTTAATCCGTTAGGCATTTGATGAATTTTACTTCTCTTTCCTAACAAATCAGTTGTATTTAATGTTGATGAGCCTTTCTTGATGCTATTATTTAATATCAAGTATTCCTGCTCCACGTTTTTTACCTGATGTTGTAGATAATAAGTGTGACAGTGATATGACTCATTCTCTTTTGTGGAGACTCTGCATGTTTTTGCTTTGTTTTTGTTTCATTTTTCTGTGTGAAACCATTTAAAGGTTTTTATCTTTATCGTCACTGTTCTAACATTTCATCACTATGTGTCTACGTGTGGATAGTTAACATTTATCCTTTTTGCCATCCAACTTGCCGGTGGTCAGCAGTAAGTCTGGGAAATTTTCTTCCATGATTTAGTTACTTTTCCTCTTTACATTTATTTTAACCTCTCTCTCTGGAAATCTACCTAGAATAACAATAGTATATCTGGATCTCTTTTCACCAAGGTTCGGTTTTCCCTCTTATGTTCCAGCATGTACCCATTTCACTTGCTTTGGTAAAGAATTATTTGGTTCAATATTACTTGGTAATTCACCAATTATCAGAGAACATTCTACTCTTCAACCACACCATATTAAGTGTCTCCCCTCCCCCTCATCTGGTGAAGGAGGGGAGTGTTAAATCTCCTGTTGCTTAATTTTAGCATTTTGCTTTCTATGATATTTATTTCCCTCAGATATTTGATAGTTCATGTTGGTGTGCTCAGAATTGTTTTGAGCACTTCTGTCTCCATCTCCTGCCTAATCTGTTTACCACGGTCTGCTCTGGCAGAGTGAAGGGAAAGGGAACATGTTCCTGATACAGTTGTCCTCTGACTGTCAGAGATTCCCCGCCTCTTCTGGGTGTCTAAAGGCAATATGAGCTCTGCTGTTCATTCTCAGCCTCAGGACTAATACTCATGGCCTTCTGCCAAGTATTCAACACAAATAAAAGAAGTGGAGAGGAAAAAAAAAAAAAACTTTGCTGCTCCAAAGTTTTCTAATTAATCACCCTGATATACACTTCAAGACTCTCTTCCATTTCTTCATGAAGTGACCCCATGCTTAGAGCTTCCACAGAACCATTCTTACCTATAAGAAGCCTCTCTGCATATTTTGGGATCTAATTTTCTTTGCCAATGCCATTCTACCTACTTTCCTCTTGTTAGAAGTCTCTCAACATTTCTAGACTACTGGTGGTACCATTTCTTATTTTCCACTGCTTTAATGACTTTTTCCCTTGCAAGGCTCTTTTTCCCCATGTCTTGAAAATTCAATGCAATAGGAGGTAAGAAATGCATGCCCAATTCACCATCTTGTTCTCAAGCCCCATTAATCTATTATTAGATGATTCCTTGCAATCTATTCACCACTTCATATGCACTGGCAATTTGGAAAGCTATTCCCATAATTGGTAAACATGTTCTGTTAACAGATAATGTCTTGAGTAGTACTGCCAGAGACCATTTTGCCCAGAAGTGCCTAGAAAACAATCTCCCTTATCACCTCCCCAACCCACTCCTAACTCCCAAGGACGGCCCTTAACAAATGACTGGTTGGTGTGCAGGTATGAACATCACAGTTCCAGCATCCCATAGCTGGGATAATGTGAAAGCATGCATTTTTGAAAAGTTTTACAGGATTTGCTTGCAAGATTAATATTTGGTTGTCCATTGTGGTAACTGGCTTAAGAACATACTCATTATCAGCTGCCTTGCCTTCCCTGTCTTACACATCAATGCCTCTGCTGGTGTTCCCTGTCCCACCCAAGTAAATTCTTTGCGTTTAAATCTCCGACTTCAGGGAAACAGAAACTAAACTGTCACCATGCAGCAAATAGCCATTGGCTTATGAAATGTGTCCAATCAGCATCCATCTAAGTATTATTTGAATAAAGTAGCCAACCAGATACACATAGAGAAAGAAATCATTAATTTTTCCCCATGTATTAGGATTATTTGAATCTGAACATAAAAACAACACATATGGAGGGGAGCAGCCAAGATGGCCAAATAGAAACAGCTCTGCTCTGCACCTCCCACCAAGAAGGATGAAAACTGCGAGTGAATTCTGCATCTTCAATTGAGGTACCAAGGTTCTCTCATTGGGACTGACTAGGTGGTTGGCGTGACCCACAGAGAGCAATAAAAAGCAGGGTGGAGTGAGGGCCCACCCGAGAGCTACACAGCGCAAAGGGAGCTCCCTCCTCCAGCTAAGGGAGGTGGTGAGGGATTGTGCTAGCCTCCCTGAAGATCATGCTTTTCCCACGGATCCTTGCAACCTGAGGATCAGGAGGTCCCCACGTGAGCCCACGCCACCAGGGCCTTGGATCCCAAGAACACTGCTGTGCAGACTCACAGAGGCTGCGCAAGTGGGCAGAAACTCGAGCAGGCACTGAGACACAGGAGTATTTGCATACTCTGGCTCTGGGAACTCTAGTAAGGCAAGAGATCCATCCACTCCAGTGGGAAGGGGGCTGAAGCCAGGAAGCCAAGCAGCCTCACTCCCATGGAGCCCCACAAGGTAAAACTCACTGGCTTGGAATCCCAACTGGCCAGCACAGCAGGCTGGAGATTGCCTAAGAAGACTTAGTTCCTGGGGGAGAGAGACAGTCGCAATCACTGCGGCTCCAGTTGGCCTTTTTCCCCTACTGCTGGTGCCAGCGAGACTGGCCAGTATGGACCAGGAGCAATTCCCCACAGCATAGCACAGTATCTGAAGCAGGTAGTGGCCAGAATATTTCTTTAGGTGGGACCCCAATCCACTCTTTCTCACTGGGCGGGGCCTCCCTACAGGAATTTCAGCATCCCCAGCCAGGGGTTTATGGACAGAACTCTGATATCCCTGAGAGGAGCACCTAGGAGGAGGGATGGCTATGGTATCGTGGATCAATCGTCTTAATCTTTTCTGCCTGCTGGTTTTTGAGAGTCAGAACAGGTTGGACGAGGGGGAATCCCCCCAGAGCAGCACACCTGCTCTGCCGAGGGGCAGCCGGACTGCTTATTTAGGTGGGTCCCTGATCCTGCTCCTCCTGACTGGGTGAGACCTCCCAATGGGAGTCTCCAGACACCTCATACAGGTTCATTCTGGCTGGCATCAGGTCGGTGCCCCTCTGGGACAGAGGAGGGATCAGGCTGCCATCTTTGATGGTCTGCAGCCTCCACTGGTGATACTTCCAGTTGCAGGAGGGACCCAGGTGAATAGGGTCTGGAGTGGACCCCCAGCAAACTGCAGCAGCCCTATGGAAGAGGGGCCTGACTGCTAAAAGAAAAACAAACAGAAAACAACAACAATAACCATGAAATCAACAAAAAAGACCCCACAAAAACCCTATCCAAAGGTCGGCAGCCTCAAAGATTAAAGGTAGATAAACCCATGAAGATGAGAAAAAAATCAAAGCAAAAATGCTAAAAACTCAAAAAGCCAGAGTGCCTCTTCTCCAAGTGATCTCAACACATTTCCAGCAAGGGCACAGAACTGGGCTGAGGCTGAGATGGATACATTGAAAGAAGTAGGATTCAGAAGATGGGTAATAACAAACTTCACTGAACTAAAGGAGTATGTTATAACTCATTGCAAGAAGCTAAGAACCACGATAAGACATTACAGAAGCTATTAACTAGAACATACAGGAGCTATTAACCAGAATAACCAGTTTAGAGAGGAACATGAATGACCTGATGGAGCAGAAAAACACAACATGAGACCTTCACAATGCAAACACTAGTATAACTATGTAACTTCTGTTAATAGCTCAATAGACCAGGTGGAAGAAAGGATATCAGAGCTTGAAGACTATTTTGCTGAAATAAGGCAGGCACACAAAATTAGAGAAAAAGGATAATATAAAAGAACAAACAAAACCTCCAAGAACTATGGGATTATGTTAAAAGACCAAACCTACGACTGATAGGGGTACTTGAAAGAGATGTGAAGAATGGAACCAAGTTGGAAAACACACTTCAGGATATTATTCCAGAGAATTTCCCCAACCTAGCACAAGAAGCCAACATTCAAATTCAGGAAATCCAGAGAACTCCGGTAAGATACTCCATGAGAATATCAACCCCAATACACATAATCATCAGATTATCCAAGGTCAAAATGAATGCAAAAAATGTTAAGGACAGCTAGAGAGAAAGCCCAGGTCACCCATAAATAGAAGCCCATCAGACCAACAGCAGACCTCTCAGCAGAAACCCTACAAGTCATAAGAAATGGGGGGGGTGGTGGCTATATTTAACGTTTTTAAAGGAAAAAAATTTAAGTCTAGAATTTCATATCTGGCCAAACTAAACTTCAGAAGCAAAGGAGAGATAAAATCTTTTTCAGACAACCAAATGTTGAGGGAATTCATCAACACCAGGCCTGCCTTGCACAAGCTCCTGAAGGAAGCACTAAATATGTTTAAAAAAAAAGTAACCAGCCACTACAGAAACACACTGAAGTATACAGACCAGTTACACTATGAAGCACCTACATAAAGAGGTCTGTAAAATAACCAGCTAGCATCACGATGACAGGATCAAATTCACATATAACAATATTAACCTTAAAGGTAAATGGGCTAAATGTCCAAATTAAAAGACACAGAATGGAAAGCTGGATAAAGCATCAAGATCCATAGGCATGCTGTATTCAAGAGACCCATCTCACAAGCAAAGACACACATAGACTCAAAATAAAAGGAAGTAGAAAAATTTACCAAGAAATGAAAAGCAGAAAAAAGCAGGGGTTGCAAACCTAGTTTCTGATGAAACAGACATTAAACCAACAAAGATAAATTATCATTACATAATGATAAAGGGGTTAAATTCAACGAGAAGATCTAACTATCCTAAATATATATGAATCCAATACAGGAGTACCCAGATTCATAAAACAAATTCTTAGAGATCTACAAAGAGACTTAGACTCCCACACAATAATAGTGGGAGACTTTAACACCCCACTGTCAATATTACATCATTGAGACTGAAAATTAATAAAGATATTCAAGACTTTAACTCAGCTCTGGATCAAGTGGACCTGATAGATTTCTACAGAATTGTCCACCCAACAGAATATACATTCTTCTCGACACTACATGGCACTTACTCTAAAATTGATCACATAGTTGGAAGTAAATCATTCCTCAGCAAATGCAAAAGAACTGAAGTCATAACAGTCTCTCAGACCACAGCACAATCAAATTAGAACTCAAGATTAAGAAACTCACTCAAAACCATACCATAACATGGAAACTGAACAACCTGTTCCTGCATGACTCCTGGATAAATAATGAAATTGAGGCAGAAATCAAGAAGTTCTTTGAAACCAATGAGAATGAAGTGACAACATACCAAAATCTCTGGGATGCAGCTAAAGCAGTGTCAAGAGGGAAATTTATAGCACTAAATGCCCATATAAAAACCTAGAAAACCTCAAATTGACCCCTTAACATCACAACTGCAAGAACTAGAGAACCAAGAGCAATGAAACTCCAAAGCTAGCAGAAGAAAGGAAATAACCAACGTCAGAGCGGAACTGAAGGAGACAGAGACACAAAAAACCCTTCCAAAAAAATCAATGAATCCAGAAGCTGGTTTTTGGAAAATATTAATAAATAGACCACTAGCTAGACTAATGATAAGGAAAAAAGGGAAGAATCAAATAGACACAACAATAAAAAATGATAAAGGGGATATCAGCACTGACCCCACAGAAATACAAACAACCATCAGAGATTACTATAAACACCTCTATGCAAATAAACTAGAAAATCTAGAAGAAGTGGATAAATTCCTGGACACATACACCCTCCCAAGACTAAACCAGGAAGACGTTAGATCCCTGAATAGACCAGTAACAATTTCTGAAATTAAGGCAGTAATAAATAGCTTACCAATCCAAAGAAAGCCCAGGACCAGATGGATTTACACCTGAATTCTACCAGTCATACAAAGAGGAGCCTTATACCCTTCCTTCTGAAACTATTCCAAACAATTGAAAAGGAGGGACTTCTCTCTAACTCATTCTATGAGGCCAGCATCACCCTGACACCAAAACCTGGCAGAGATACAACAAGAACAAAAAGGAAACTTTAGGCCAATATCTCTGATGAATATCAATGTAAAAATTATCAATAAAATATGGACAAACTGAATACAGCAGCACATCAAAAAGCGTATCCACCACGATCAAGTTGGCTTCATCTGTGGGATGCAAGGCTGGTTGAACATATGCAAAAATCAATAAACATAATCCATCATATAAACAGAACAAAAGACAAAAACCACATGATTATCTCAATAGACACAGGAAAGACCTTCAATAAAATTCAACATCCCTTTATGTTAAAAACTCTCAATAAACTAGGTATTGAAGAAACATACCTCAAAATAATAAGAGCCATTTATGACAAACCCACAGCCAATATCATACTGAATGGGGAAAAGCAGGAAGCGTTCCCTTTGAAAACCAGCACAAGACAAGGATGCCCTCTCTCAACACTCCTATTCAACACAGTATTGAAAGTGCTGGCCAGAGAAATAAGGCAAGAGACAGAACTAAAGGGTATTCAAATAGGAAAAGAGGAAGTCAAATTGTCTTTGTTTGCAGATGACATGATCCTATATCTAGAAAACCCCACCATCTCAGCCCAAAAGGTTCTTAAGCTGATAAGCAACCTCAGCAGTCTCAGGATACAAAATCAATGTGCAAAAGTCACAAGCATTCCTATGCACCAACAACAGGCAAGCAGAGAGCCAAATAATGAATGAACTCCCATTCACAATTGCTACAAAGAGAATAAACTACCTAGGAATACAGCTAACAAGGGAAGTAACGGACCTCTTCAAGGAGAATTACAAATAACTGCTCAAGAAAATCAGAGAGGGCACAAACGAATGGAAAAACATTCCATGCTCATGGATAGGAAGAATCAATATTGTGAAAATGGCCATACTGCCCAAAGTAATTTATAGATTCAAGGCTATTCCCATTAAACTACCATTGACATTCTTCACAGAACTAGAAGAAACTATTTTAATATTCCTATGGAACCAAAAAAGAGCTCATATAGCCCCGACAATCTTAAGCAAAAAGAAGAAAGCTGGAGGCATCACACTACCAAACTTCAAACCACACTCCAAGGCTTCAATAAACAAAACATCATGGTACTGGTACAAAAACAGGAATGTAGACCAATGGAATAGAATAGAGAAACTACAAATAAAACTGCACATCGACAATCATCTGATCTTTGACGAAACTGACAAAAACAAGCAATGGGGAAAGGATTCCCTATTTAATAAATGGTGCTAGGAGAAGTGGCTAACCATATGCAGAAAATTGAAACTGGACCCCTTCCTGACACCTTATATGAAAATTAACTCAAGATGGATTAAAGACTTAAATGTAAGACCCAAAACTATAAAAACCTTAGAAGAAAATCTAGGCAATTCAGGACATAGGCACGGGCAAATATTTCATGATGAAATCACCAAAAGCAATTGCAACAAAAGCAAAAATTGACAAATGGGATCTAATTAAAGAACTTCTGCACAGCAAAAGAAACTGTCATCAGGGCAAACAGGTAACCTACAGAATGGAGAAAATCTTTGCAGTCTATCCATTGGACAAAGGTCTAATATCCAGAATCTACAAGGAACTTACACAAATTTACAAGAAAAAAAACAAGCCTATTAAAAAGTAAGCAAAGGACATGAACAGACACTACTTAAAAGAAGACATTCATGTGGTCAACAAACATATGAAAAAAAGCTCAACATCACTGATCATTAGAGAAATGCAAATCAAAACAAAAATGAGATATCATCTTATGCCAGTTAGAATGGTGATTATTAAAAAGTCAAGAAATAACAGAGGCTGGCAAGGTTGCAGAGAAATAGGAATGCTTTTACACTGTTGGTGGGAATGTGAATCAACTTAACCACTGTGGAAGATGGTGTGATGATTCCTCTAAGATCTAGAACAAGAAATATCATTTAACCCAGCAATCCTATTATTGTGTATATATCCAAAGGAATATAAATCATTATATTATAAAGATATGTGCACACATATGTTCTTTGCAGCATTACTCACAACAGCAAAGACATGGAATCAACCCAAATGTCCATCAGTGATAGACTGGATAAAGAACATATGGTACAGATACACCAAAGAATACTATGCAGCCATAAAAAGAAATAAGATCATGTGCTTTGCAGGGACATTGATGGAGCTGGAAGTCATTATCCTCAGCAAACTAACACGGGAACAGAAAACCAAACACTGCATCTTCTCACTTATACCTGAGAGCTGAACAATGAGAACACATGGACTCAGGGAGGGTAACAACACACACTTGGGCCTGTTGGTAGGTGAGGTTGAGGGAGGGAGAGCATCGAGAAAAATAGCTAATGCATGCTGGGCTTAATACTTAGGTGATGGGTTGATAGGTGCAGCAAACCACCATGGCACACGTTTACCTATGTAACAAACCTGCACATCCTGCACATGTACCCTGGAACTTATAATAAAAATTTTTAAAAAACACATATTACAAGAATTTTTATTGTATGGCATACAGCGGAATATTCAAATATATTTTATAGCTTAATATTTGGGTAAAAAGTTTACATAATAAAGGATTCTGTGATATAATTTTAAGAAATACTACATACTATATTATTTTCTTAGAAATTTGCAGTGCATATGGGCATTTTAAACGTGAAGAGAAAGTTTATAATAAAAACAAAACAAAATGAAAATCTGAAGTTGGTATTTTGAAGTAATTCGCAGTAATTTTGAAGTTAGTACTTTCTCAAACTAAGTTGTCCAGAGAATCTCTTTCTAACATAATTCCTATCAATATCTAATGAAATCAGTGGTTTGTTGAGCATAATTTTCATCAATAGCACTGAGAAAAGATGGTGTGTTTATCTGTGGAAAGCTAATCGACTTATACAATTACAAAAATATGTAATTTTGCTTTTATTAGCCCCATAATCTTATCAGAAAATTATGGAGACATCAGTAATTAATTATTAAATCTCAGCTATAATGGACAGAAACATTGCTTAAAAGAGTGCCTTTTAAATTTGATTTTTAGTTCAGATCAAATTTTATCGCCTAGACTTGTAAAATCTTTGATCTTTTTATTTTGCTCCAGATTCTTATCTATTAACACATTTATAACATAAAGTTGAGGTGACAAAAATTGGTGTCTATGTAAGCTCGATTAAAGACCATAAATAATTATAGGATTCATTCAAAAGAGAGGTCCCTTGGATTAGGTGAATCAATCACATTATTAGATAACTATAGTTTCTTTCTTTTTTCAAGGATTGAAATATAGTCATCAAATACTCATTACTTAATAGATATAATGTAATTATCAAATAATGGCATTTTTGAAGATTTTTATGTGTTTGATAGCAAAAGACATTTAAATATCCGGCTTTTTAAAAGGGGACATACATGTCATTGGCTTCTAATTTCACTGTACCTTGAGCACTGATGCATAACTGGACTATGGATTTGTAGACTTGCTTAAGTTATAAGAATTTATAGAGTTATTAAAATCTGCAATTTTCAGTTAATGTGCCAATTATTCATTAAAGATGCATTTAACATTTAATTTTATTCTTCTTGATGAGAGAGTTATTTTTACTCTCTGATCTTCAAACTTCTATCAGAAATCTCTTCAAAGTACATTCCTAATCATATTAACCCCTCACAAATCTCTTGTTATTTTGATGCCAATAACATTGTATTCTCCAAATACACCTCTAAGTTTCCCACCCATTTTAATAAAGACCTAGTTTAAATGTTGCTTCATTAATGAGGAAGGTCTTAATCCCACCCCACTCATGTTAATCTTATCTTTCTCTGATTTTTTATTTCTACTGAAATGATAACAACAACATCACTAGTTGTTATGTGCAATAAATAAGTTAATGTATATGAAGTACCAAGCATGGAGCTTGGCAGATATTAAAGTCTAATAAATTGTAGCTATTAATATGTCTTATTATTATGGCACACAATCTGCTTTGTGTTAGAGTTATTTATGAACAAATATGTCTCTTCCTATTAGCATATAAACTCATTGAGGGCAGATTTTACATGTAAATCCATCTTAGTATCTCCCAAGGTGTTGACGATTTCTCTGGTATACATTCCTTATTTGTTTTACTTTTAATTCATAGTAAATCAATGCAAAAAAATGAACTTACATGAATTCAAATGTAATATCTCTGTCTTGAAGAGAGCAGAACCAATACATTTTTAAATTCACAAACATACTGAATATGTACTATGTGTTTATCATATTGTATGTTCCATAGCAATATTAGAATAGGGTTAGCTGTGACAAAGTTATTTTTTGAAATATTTACCTATGTGTGCATGTGTCTGTGCACATCTACCTGCAATAACTTTGTCTCCCAAATTGTTGGTCACTACTCAAGCTAGTCTTTGGCTGCCACTGTCCAATGGAAGGGAGGCCACGGCAGACATTTCACTAAAACTGCTTGGCTTGGCAAGAGGGGGCAGAGGCTGAGTAAGAAAAGAAACATACATATTAGATGCTGGAGAGTGTTTCTTAAAAGGATCTTGAATTATGCCTCACTTAAAGCACATTCAAGTTTTGAGGAAGGTGAGGGGAATAGAACTTCCAAATAGAATACAATTTACAAAGAGTAGAAATCTGTGCTTTGTTTATCATATGACTTAGAGATCTTCAAGACTCCAGCCTTTACTACACTTCAGCATCGTGTAACAGCAGACAAATTAGGCAAAGAGGTCAAGTTTTACTAGAAAGATCAGTTTGCTCTGAGACAGTTTGTGAAGCTTTTTGTGGCTGCAGCGTGACAGAAGAGAGAAGCAAGATTTTTCTCTGCTCCCAGGAAAGGCATAAAAGTAAGCAAAGAAAAAAAAAAGGATTTGAAACAAGCAAGGAAGTTAGGTGGTAGATTCTAAGGATCTCATTGTTGAAATAATGTCATGTTGTAGTAGAAAACAGCATTAATCTTACAACTACGATTTCAGAGATAGCATGACTATCTTAGGTAATATCAGGATGAAAAATGATTACAGCTGAGAGCAATACAGAACGATATTTATTGCAAAGGATACATGAGATGGACACATGACAATCTAGAATCAGATAATTCCTCTCTGAATACATCTTTGATTCTAAATGAGCCTGTCATCTACACCTGTAGTTAAATACCACCTTAGAAAAAAAAGGAGAGGGAATGTAAAACCTTTCCTAATGTAGAAAATTATGGATTGAATTTAAAAATTACGGAGTTGCCGGGCGCAGTGGCTCATGTCTGTAATCCCAGCACTTTGGGAGGCCGAGGCAGGTGGATCACCTGAAGTCAAGAGTTTGAGACCAGCGTGGTCAACATGGTGAAACCCCACCTCTACTAAAAATATAAAAATTAGCTGGGCGTGGTGGCGGGTGCCTGCAATCCCAGTTACTCAGGAAGCTGAGGTAGGAGAATCGCTTGAACCTAGGCGGCGAGGTTGCAGGGAGCAGAGATCGCACCATTGCACTCCAGCCTGGGTGACAAGAGTGAAACTCCACCTCAAAAAAAAAAAAAATTACTGAGTTAACAGTTCTACAGAAATGACTAGGTTCAGTTATGTTCTACCAGACCGAAGAGACTCAATAAATGTAGGTAAAAATTAAAGTTTTTGTTTTGGCTTGTCATTCTCTAGGCTGTACAGAAAGCATGGCACCAGCATTTTCTCTTAGTGAGGCCTCAGGAAACTTTCACTCATGGAGGAAGAAGGTGAAGGGGAAGCAGGTACATCAAATGGTGAAAGTGGGAGCAAAAGAGAGAGGGGAGCAAGAGTGAGGGGGGAAAGCGCCACACTCATTTTAAACAACCAGCTCTCACATGAGCTACCAGGAGGAGAACTCACTCATAACCATGAGGATGGTGCCAAGACATTCATAAGGGATCTACTGCCAAGACCCAAACACTTCCCACTAAGCCCACCTCCAACATTGGAGGTCATATGTGAACATGAAATTTGGAGAGACAAAACATCCAAACCATGTCATTCAAAATAGCTAAGATATGAAAACAACCTAAGCATCTTTCTACAGATAAATAAATAGAATGTTTATATATGTTTATATATATATATATATAATTAGTCATTGTTATTCAGCCATAAAAATAAGAAAACCATGCCATTTGCGACAATATGAATGAAACTGGGGTATTTTATGTTAAGTGAAATAAGCCACTACAGAAAGACAAACAATGCATGATCTCACTGATACATGGAACCTAATAAAGTCAAACTTTGCTGGGCATGGTGGTTCATGCCTGTAATCCCAGAAATTTGGGAGGCCGAGGTGGGCAGATCACTTGAGGTCAGGAGTTAGAGAGCAGCCTGGCCAACGTGGTGAAACCCCATCTCTACTAAAAATACAAAAAATTAGCTGGGTGTGGTGGCACAGGCCTATAATCCCAGCTACTAGTGAGGCTGAGGCAGTAGAATCACTTGAACCTGGGAGGCAGAGGTTGCAGCGAGCTAAGATCATGCCACTGCACTCAAGCCTGGGCTATGGAGCGAGACTCTGTCTCAAAACAATAAATAAATAAATAAAGTCAATCTCATATAAACAGAGTAGAGGGGTGCTTGCCAAGTGTCAGGGGGTGGGTAAACTGGTAGACGTTGTTAAATTATATGTATTTTCTATTATAAGTTTTGGAGATCTAATGTACAGCATGGTAACAATATTTAACAATAATGTATTGTACACTTGAAATTTGCTAAGAGAGTAGATCTCAAGTGTCCTCACTACAAAAAAGAAAAAAAGGTAACTGTGAGGTGATTACTGCATTAATTTGATTGATTTTGATAATCATTTCACACCGTATATGTATATTGAAACAACATGTTGTATGTCATAAATATATGTGTGCAAATCAGTTTTATTTCTGTCATCAAACTTATGAAGTATAAAATTATTATAACTATAAAACTATGTTATTGAATACAAAAAGTAAAAATATGTAATTTGTGATGTTAATAACACAAAGTGGGGGAGACGTAAAATGGCAGAGTTTCTGTACACTGATGTAGTTACATAGTTATCAGCTGAAAACAAATTGTCATAAGTATAAAATGTTTTTTATAAGTTCCTGGAAACCTCAAAGAAAATACTCACAGATGGCATAGAACAGAAAATGAGAAAATACTGGAAAGATATCACTACAAAATATCAACAAAACACAAAGGAAGGCAGCAAGAGAATAAGAGGAGAAGAAAATAGCTATGTCAAGAAAGTAAACAGTACCAAAATGAATGCAGCAAGTCCTTCCCTATCAGTAATTCCTTTACATGTAAATGTATTAAACTCTCCAATCAAAAGAGGTAGAGTGGTTGATTGATAGGAAAAGAATAAAACAATATCAAACTATATGCTGTCTATAAGATACTCACTTTAGATTGAAGGACACACATAGACTGAAAGTAAAAGGGAAAAAGTTGTTGCATGCAAATAGCATCAAAAGAGAGTACAGGTTGCCATACTTATTAGACAAAAAGTACTTTAAGTGAAAACTCTTACAAGAATATAACGATAAAAGGGCCATTTATCTGAGAATATATAACAATTATATATGCACTTAACATAAGAGAACCCAAATATATAAACATTAACATAATTAAATGAAGAAATAGTAAAACAATAATAGAGTATTTCAAACCAAAAATTAAATAATGGAAATAAAAAAACAGTTTAATGAGGAAATAAAGGATTGAAAAATATTAATAGGTCAAAAGACATATTACACTGAGCAGCAACAGAATACACATTCATCTCAATAGCAAATGAAACATCTTCCAGGATAGATCACATGGTAGGTCACAAAGCAAATCTTAACAAATTAAGAAGACCGAAATCGTAACAAGTACCTTTTCCAAACACAGTGAAATGAAACTAGAAATCAATAGTTGAAACTTGGAAAATTCACATATATATAGAAATTAATCAACACACTTTTGAACAACAAATGTACAAAATGAAATCACAAAAATAATTAGAAAACATCTTGAGACTAATGAAAACAAAAATAAATAAAACATACCAAAAGTTATGGAATGCAGCAAAAGCAGTACTATGAGGGACACTAACAGCAGTAACTACAACCATTGAAAAAGAAGAAGGATTTCAGATAAACAACTTAACTCTGTGCCTCAAGAAAGTAGGGGGGAAGGAAAGATGGTCAGCTAGACACAGACAAGTGGAAGACCTCCCATGGAGAGACTGAGGCAACTGGTGTCCTTTCAACAGATCTTCAGAGGGAAGGCACTGAAAGTGGACAGAGGAAAGACACAGGAGCTGGGATTAAGGGGGAGAAAGTTGGAAACCCTGCATGGGCTGCCACACACTGGGATTCATTTTTGAACCACAACCACCTCAGGAGAAAGGGTGAGTTGAACTGGCAAGGAGCAACCCACTCTCATCACAGGCCTCTGGAAGCCTGCGAAGGAGACCCATCGTCCACCATGGACACTTGAGGTGGTAGGGAGAACTACTTAGAGAACTGGTGGAACAGCAAGGCCACTGATGTAGAGGGTTTGGTGCAGGAGTGTCTGTAGTTGAGCATGGCCAGCGATAGCCATCCCTATAGGCTTGACTTGCTCCCATAGGAGACTTTAGCCCTAGGGGAACTGTCAGACCCAATCTCTGCAGAGCGGTCTTGCTCATCCAACGGGCCTGGTCCGACCTGAGCACTTCTTGGTCTATTGGTCTTCCCAGGGCCCCAGCCTGGCCACACCTGCTTACAGGTCAGTCTTGAGTGCCCTAGTGGCCCACACCATAGCTTCCATGCTGGCAGGCTATGCCTTACCAGCGTAGAGCTCCAGCAAGGCGGCCCCTAGGGCTGTGCACCACCCCAGATGTACCCTCCCCATACTGCAGCTGGTGCGTGTCTGCAAGAGTGGGTTTTTTTTCACCTGTCCCATCAGCACACATGAGTGTAGTCTCCTCCCTCTGTCCCCCAGGACCACCACTGCAGTTGGAGTCTTGGCAGGCACAGAACCAGCAAGCCCTACCTCCACCAGCATCCAGCCCTACCTCCACCAGCATCCAGCCCTCGTGCTAACACTTTGAAGAGAACAGAGGATCCTCTCACACCCTGAGGGATCACTCCTGTTTGTGAGGCACAGAGAAGGCACCCAGACCTGTACTGGCCAGCACCCAGCCCCAAGGCAACATCACCTCCAGTTCAAGAGCGCACAGTATCCAGAAGGCGCCCCTTGCCCCCCTCAGCTGCCTTGCTTGTGCCACTGTGGTTAATGCCTGCAGTGACGCAGCCACCCCTACATCCACTAACACTCTGCTGAAGCTGCTGCACCTTAGGACTGCCAGCGCAGTGGACTCCAAACCTCAAGGAGCCAGAGAACAAAGTCGGGGCTCGATACAAGTCCCCCAGAGTTAGAGCACACAGCCCAGGAGTTGGGAACTGAGTGTTTGCCTTCTAACATCTCCCAGAAACAAAGCCAGTTGGCTGAATCAACCTTATGCCACAATCACGCACTCAAGATAATCAAATAGGAGAAAATAAAAGAAAAACCCATCCAAAGGTCAGCGATCTCAAAGATTGAAGGTAGATAAGCCCACAAAGATGAGAAAGAATCAGCACAAGAATGCTGAAAATTCAAAAAGCCATCTTTGACAAACCCACAACCAACATAAAGTGAATGGGAAAAAGCTGGAAGAACTTCCCTTGAAAACCAGCACAAGACAAAGATTCCCTCTCTCACTACTCGTATTCAACATAGCATTGGAAGTGCTCACCAGGGCAATCAGACAAGAGCAAGAAATTAGGGGGCATCCAAATAGGAAGAGAAGAAGTCAAACTATCCCTGTTTGCAGGCAAAATGATCCTATATCAAGAAAACCCCATAGTCTCAGTCAAAAAGTTTCTTAAGCTAACAAACAACTTCAGCAAAGTCTTAAGATATAAAAATCAATGTGCAAACATCACTAGCATTTTTATACACCAAAAACAGTCAAGCTAAGAGCCCAATCAAGAATGTACGACCATTCGCAATGGACACAAAATGAATAGAATACTTAGGAATACAGCTAACAAGGAAGGTGAAAGATCTCTATAAGGACAACTACAGACCAGTGCTAAAGGAAATCAGAGATGACACAAACAAATGAAAAAATATTCCATGCTCATTCATAAAAAGAATCAATATTGTTTAAATGGCCATACTTTTCAAAGCAATGTATAGAACCAGAAAAACTATTTTAAAATTCATATGGAACCAACAAAGAGCCAAAATAGCCAAGGCAATCCTAAGCAAAAGGAACAAACCTGGAGGCATCATCCCACCTGACTTCAATCTATACTATAGGGCTACAGTAACCAAAACAACATGGCACTGGTACAAAAACAGACACAGAGACCAATGGAACAGGATAGAGAACTCAGAAATAAGACTACATACCTACAACTATCTGATCTTTGACAAACCTGACAAAAACAAGCAATGGAGAAATGATTCCCTTTTCAATAAATAGTGCTAAGATAACTGGCTAGCCATATGGACAAGATTTAAACTGGACCCCTTCCTTACACAAGATACAAAAAATAACTCAAGATAGATTAAAGACGTAAATATAAAACCCAAAACTATAAAAACCTTGGAAGTAAACCTAGCAATATCATTCAGGAAATAGTCACAGGCAAATGTTTCATGACAAAGATGCCAAAAGCAATTAGAATAAAAGAAAAAATTGAGAAATGGAATCTAATTAAACAAAAGTGCTTATGCACAGCAAACAACACTATCAACAGCACAGACAACCTACAAAATGGGAAAAAACATTTAGACAAAGTTCTAAAATCCAGAATCTATAAGGAACTTAAACAGATTTATTAAAAAACACCTAACAACCTCTTTAAAAAGTGGGCAAAGGATATGAATAGACACTTTTCAAAAGAAGACATATAGGTGACCAACAATCATATGAAAAAAAGCTCTACATCACTGATCATTAGAGAAATGCACATCAAAGCCACAATGTGATACCGTCTCACACCAGTCTGAATGGTCATTATTATAAAGTCAAAAAATAACAGGTGCTGGCATTAGATCGTCAAGGCAGAAAACTAGCAAATATATTTCTGAACTTAAACTCAACACTTGACCAATCGGACCCAGTAGATATCTTTAGGATACTACACCCAACAAACACAGAATATACACTCTTCTTATCTACTCATGGCACCTATTCTAAGACCAACCACATGCTTGGCTATAAAGCAAGTCTCAACAAATTTCAAAAAATAAAATAAAATCACAATAAGCACACTCTCACACCACAGTGCAATAAAAAAATAGAAAGCAATTCCAAGAGGATCTCTCAAAATCATACAATTACATGGAAGTGAAACAACTTTTTCTTCAATGACTTTTGCGTAAAGAACAAAATTAAGGCAGAAATCAAAAAATTATTTGAAATTAATTAAAAAGACGTGATATAACAGAATCCTTGAGAAACAGCGAAATCAGTATTAAGAGAAAAGCTTACAGTACCGTATTAGTCCATTTTCACACTGCTATCAAGACATACCTGAAGCTGGGTAATTTATAAAGAAGAGAGGTTTAATTGACTCACACTTCCACATGGTTGGGGAGGCCAAACTTACAGTCATGGCAGAAGGGGAAGAGGCACGTCTTACATGGTGGCAGGCGAGAGAGAACAAGTGTGTGTGAGTGCGGAAAAATACTACCATTTATAAAACCATCATATCTGAATATTTGCTCACTATCACAAGAACAGCATAGGGGAAACTGCCCCCATAATCAAATCACTTCCCACCACATCTCTCCCTCAACACCCGGGATTTACAATTCAAGATGAGATTTGGATGAGGACACAGCCAAACCATATCAAGCACTAAACACCTACATCAAGAAGATAGAAGGATCTCAAATTAAGAACCTAATGTCACACCCAGAGGAACTAGAAAAACAAGAGTAAACCAAAATCTAGCAGAAGAAAATAAATAACCAAAATTCGAGAAGAACTGAAAATTGAAACATTAAAATACAAAAAATCAATAAAACCAAAATTTGTTTTCTGAAAGAATAAATAAGAATAGACTACTAGCTTGAATAACAAAGGAAAAAAAAGAAGATCCAAATAAGCACATCAGAAACAACAAAGCTACATTATAATTAACCCCATAGCAAAAAAAAAAAAAAATCCTCAAACAATTATCAACTCTTATAAGCACACAAACTGCAAAAACTAAAAGAAATGGGTAAACTCCTGGAAACACCCAACCTCCCATTATTGAGCCAGAAAGTAACTGAACCACTGAACCAACCAATAACAAGTTCTAAAATTGAAACACTAATAAAAAAACCCTACCATCCAGAAAAGAGCTATGGGCATGATGAAGTCACAGCCAAATTCTACCAGACATGCAAAGAACTAGTACCAAAAATCCGTAGGACAATCTTTCTTCATTTTTAACCTTTTAAACTATGTAGTCATTTCTGTAACTGTAATTAATCACGAAGGGATAAATATTTGAATGGGATACAGCAAACTGAATGCACTATTTTTTTGAATTCTGTATAAACATAAATGTGAAAGCATGCCTAATATGTACTTAAATACCATTTATAATCCCACACATAACCTCTTTACATTCTTTTAAACACAGATTTTCATTCTCTGTAAAAGATTCTCTATAAACCCCACAGAGATTGTAAGTTGAGTAAAAGGGACTGAATTTTCTCAGAAACTATTAAGATCTTTTCTTGTTAATAAGCAAAGCGGCAACTGAAAATGGCTCTCCACCAGTAAAGACTGTGAAGTTCCACTTCCTCTCTATTATACAAACAACATGTTAACAACCACTTGCTATAAAAGACCAAAACATATTTTTAAAACAATGGCCTGGAAACTTTGGAAGGAACACCGGGGGAAGCCACTAAGGCTACCATTAGCAGTGAGATAATAGCGTACCAGCATCCCAAAGCAACAAAAAGCAGCCCAGCATGTAACTTATGGTCCAATTTGATCACGGAGATGGGAGAGCAATGCATTTCTGAACCAGACCCCATAAAATGAAGCATTTTATGTTAATATCATATTAATTCTACAAGAAGTTTGTGCTCCTCCAAAATGTGGCTTTTTGGGTTAATGATAGTCAACACTTATCAAATAACTATAGCATGAATCTAGAGAGTCATTTATCTCAGATCATGGATTTGTTAATAAATTCAGATGACTTGAGATTAGTCCCCAGAAGCTATAAGGATGCACTTCATCCAAGAACTCACCTAGAAGCAAATAAAATTAGATATTATAAGTGTCAATTTTAGATAGAAATGTCACTCAAGGTAATATTAGAAACAAGAAACAAGTCCCTTAACATTGAAATGAATCTAGGTTCAGAAAATTTTCTCTCCTAAATGTAACTTTCAAGGGGATTTCTTCCATAATTTGTGGTTTTGTCTAATGTTTTAGTCAGGAAACTAAACCAAAATTTATTCAAACTCTTTTCTCACAGATTTTGGTCCCTTTGAACTTATATTTTATAATTTAGAAAAAATATTTTTAAGTCACTACATGGTTTGAATTTTCTCATCTCTGCAATGTAAATCTAGATCTTTTTCTAATACATAAAACTCCCATATATTAAATGATAGGTAGAGATCAGAATACTCAAGGCCTTACAATTTTGGAGTTTATCCTAAGGATGATATGTTTAAAAATTACAACAAATAATATTTACTGAACATCAATTACATACCAAGTATTATAACAAATTACATGGACTGCCTTATTTACAAAAACCTTATGAGACAGGTACTATTTTACAGATGGAGAAAGAAATATTCATTAAGAAGTAATTTGAGTAAGTTCATATAATCAGTGAATACCCAAGTGGGGTTTCAACTTTGGCTAACAGAACCCACAAACCATAATCTTAACAGCTCTATTAGTAAGATATTTGCTATGTACTTCTCAAATACATATGGCATACTTAGTATAAAAAATGTAAAAAGATCACACTACATTCTGTTTTTTCTTGTCTATTATCTTTTGATTGAATTATAAATTTAAAGCTATTCATATGAAAGCCTTAAAAGATTTTTTAATTAAAAATGATTGTAGATTTATAAGCAAGAATAAATTGATAAGAAAAGCTGCAGTTAATTTAACAGTTTATTGTTGTTTCCTTTAAATAGATAAAACACAGTATAGGAGGGGGATTCACAATGTCTAAATAGAGGTGACCGGGACTTGCCTTCTCCAAAAAAGAACAACTTAACAGTGAGCTAACCACACATTAAATAGAGCTTCTAAGAGAGAACACTGGAATTCCAAAGTGAAGTGACAGGGAAACTCTGAGGCACAGAACAAGAGGGAAGCAAAGCAACCAGCCCCACTGGAATTGGCTTGTAGCCAGCAGGAACTCCCTATTGCTGGGAAAAGGTAAGCAAGATATCTCCAGCCGTCAACATTCGCACCTTGGATTCTTAGAATTGTAGCCACAGGAGAGCACTTCCAGGCCCTAAGGTTAGTACGCAGAGGTGCGTGGAATCCACGTGATGGTGTTGTTCCAGAGAGAAAGCTCACACTGAGTCCCACACAGCCCCTGAGACCCAAGCATCTGCAGCACAGTGCCATTTTGAGAGTCCAGCACCCCAGACTGCATCCTGCCCTAGGGTCCAATAATCCCTGCATTTCCTCATTTCTGAAACCCCACTGACATCTCTCCACATACACTCAGAGGGCTGCAGTATCACACCACCAACTGGATCCAGTGGTGCAGGAGGGTCCCCAGCACTCTAGCTCACACAGTGTCTTACACTCTGGGTAATGGATGGTTCAGTCCATCTGGAAGGCTGCCTCCAGGACAAAGGGAACCAATGTGTATGCTCCCCAGATCCTGAGAGTTGTTTGCCTGGGACCACTGCCATTGATAGCAATCCTTCCCCTACCAGTGGCAGGACTACCAGGCACCTGCAAATGCCGCCAGGGGAACTGGGAATCAATCTAATCCATCCGTCACTACTAAAGACCACACATGCTGATCAGTGGCCTAAGAATAAATCTGTACCACTGATGACCACTACTGCCACCAGAGACCCAGTAAACCATCTGGAGGCTTAGGGATCAACCTGCCCTGCCTGCCACATCAGGCACCTGTACACATGATCCAGGGACATGAGGAAAGATGTGTTCCACCCACCATCACCACCCCCCAGTGCCCACAAATGTTATCTGAGGCCTAGAGATAAATCCACCCTGCCACTGGACGCTGGTGCTCTTGCACATTCTCAAGGGCTTGAGGACAGGTATGTCCCACTCAACATGACCACCACCCACAAACGTTATCTGGGTTCCTGGGGATTAATGCAGCCCAGCAACCACCACTGGTACCCATCTACACCTTCTGGGGACCTAAAAATAGGCCCATTCAAGCCACATCCAGTGACTGTATGCACATCCCAGGGGCCAAGTGACCAGTCTACCCAGCCTACCGCCACTGGTGCAGTCTCTGGCACTCTCCTTTAGGCACCACCTCATGGCCTTGGAATAGTCTGTCCAGCCTGCTGCTGCCACTACTGGTGCTCGTGTGCTCTGCTCAGAGGCCCAACGGTTGACCTACCACTGCTACTGCTACTGCTAATGCCTGGACAACACGGTGAAACCCCATCTCTACTAAAATGCAAAAAATTAGCCAGGCATGGTGGCACACACCTGTAATCCCAGCTACTCGGGAGGGTGAGGCAGGAGAATAGCTTGAACCCGGGAGGTGGAAGTTGCAGTGAGCTGAGATTGCACCACTGCACTCCAGCCTGGGTGACAGAGCAAGACTCCGACTCCAAAAAAGAAAAACAAGAAAGAAATGCCTAAAAAAATAGAAATAATGTTATCAAAAAAGCTCAGTAAGATAAAGACAATATGGAAAAATAATACAAAGAAACGAGAAAAACAATTCAGGATATAAATGAGAAATTCAACAAAGAAATAGACATCTTAAAAAAGAAACACATGGGAACTCTAGAACTAAAAAATTAATGAATGTAATAAAAAAATACAAACAAGAAAATATATGAGAGAGAGAGGAAGCAAAGTGGCAGAATAGAATGCTCAATTGATAGTCCCCCATGTGAGGACACCAATTTTACAACTATTTATACAGAAAAGAAAAAAATATATAACTTCATAAGAAACAAAAATCAGGTGAGTCCTCAGAGTACTGGTTTTAACTTCATATCACTGGGATAGGCAGTGAGGAGACAGAAAAAGTAGTTTTGAATCATTGACATGACTACTTTCCTATCCCCCAGCAGGATTGGCATGGTGTGGAGAGCATCTCAGGGTACTGGGGGAGAGAGAGTATAGTAATTGTGAGGCATTGAACTCAGAGCTGTGCTGTTAGAGCAGAAAGGAAAACCAGACCAAACTCAGCTGACTCTTGCCCATGGAAGGAGCATTTCTAGCTGAAGGGGACTTGCCATCCCAATGGTGAAAATTTGAGTTCTTACATACCTTGCTCACCACTGAGGGCTAAAGTGCTCTGGGTCTAAAAGTAAACCTCAAAGACAGGAGAGGCCACAAGGACTGCGACGCTGAGGCAAGTCCTAGTGATGAACTGGGCCAAGAGACAGTGAACTTGGTTGGTGACGGGGTTGGGGGTGGCCTGTAACCTACTGAGACTCCAGCTGGGGTGGCTAAGGAAGTGCTGGCATGACTCCTCCCCTAACCCCAGGAAGCACAGCTCACAGCTACAAAAGACACCCCTTCCCTCTATTTGAGAGGAGAGAAAAGACTGGGATGGACTTTGTCTTGCATTTTGGATACCAGTTCAGCCACAGTATAATAGGGCACCAGTAAGAGAAATGAAGCCCCTGTTCCAGGCACTAGCTACTGGAAGAAATTTCTAGATAACATCTGAGATACAAGGGAATCCACTGACTTGAAGGGAAGAACCCATTCCTAGCAGTATACATCACTTGTTAACTAAAGAGCTCTTGGGCCCTGAATAACCAGCAGTGATACCCACGTACCATGTTGAGGGCCTTGAATGAGCCTCTAAGACATAATGGCTTCAGGTGAGACTCAGTGCACTACCAGCTATGGTGGCTATGGGGCAAAATTCCTTCTTCTTGAGAAAAACAGAAGGAAAAGTAAAGGGCACTTGGTCTTGAACCTTAGGTACCAGCTCAGCTGCAGGATGGTAGAGCAACAAGTGAGCTCTCGGGGTCCCCAATCCCAGAACAGGGGGCATAAATGGCATTTATGGACCTGTCCAGGGCCAGATGGGAGCTCACTGCCCTGAAAAGTGACTAACAGGCCAGGCAGCATTCACCAGAAACTGACTTACAAGTCCTTGGGCTTTAAAAATACATTGGTGCTAGTCTGGCAGTACTCCCTGTTGCCTGTGGTGGCAGTGACTACGGAGCGAGGCTCCTCTGCATTTGGAAAAACGTGAAGAGAGTGGAAAGGACTGTGCCTTGTAGTTTCAGTGCCAGCTTAGCTGGAGTATAATAGAACATGAAGTAGATTTCTAAGGATTTGACTCTAGTCCTTGACTACCGAACAGCACCACTGGACCAACCTGGGACCTCAGGGAATTTGCCACTCTGAAGAAATGGATATAGCCCTGGCTGGCTTTCATACCTGCTGATTATAAAGCCCCAGAGTCTTGAGTGAACATTGGCAGTAGCCAGGAAATGGTTACAGCAGGCGTTGGGTGAGACCAAGCACTGTGCTGGCTTCAGGTCTGATCCAGTGCAGCCATAGTGCTGGTGGCCACAGGGGTGCTTGTATCACTTCATCCAGCTTTAGGTAGTTCAGCTCAGAGAGAGAGAAACTCCATTTGTTTTGGAAAAAGTAAGGGAAGAGAATACATGTCTCTGCCAGGTAAACCAGAGAATTCTCCTGGATCTTGTCCAAGACCATAAAGGCAGTACCTTTACAAGTCTGCAAGAACCACACTGGTACTGGACATAGGGTACTCCCTAAAGCAGATACAGCTTAGATCACAACACCCAAGTCATTTTAAATATCTAAAAAGACTTCCTAAGAATAATGGCTACAAATAAGCCCAGAAAGTAAAAACTACAACAAATACTTAACCCTTCAATGCCTAGACACAGAAGAACATCTACTATCATCAACATCATCCAGGAATACATGACTTCACAAAATGAACAAAATAAGACACCAGGGACCAGTAATGGAGAAACAGAGATATGAGACCTTTCAGAAAGAGAATTCAAAATAGCTGTGTTGAGGAAACTCAAAGACACTTAAGATAACAGAGAGAAGGAATTAAGAATTCTATCAGAAAAATTTAACAAAGAGATTGGAGTAATTAAAAATAAGCAGAAACTCTGGAGCTGAAAAATGGCATACAGTATGCAACTGGCATACCGAAGAATGCATCAGAGTCCTTTAAGAGCAGTATAGATCAAGCAGAAGAAAGTATTAGTGAGCTAGAAGATGGGCTAATTGAAAATACACTCAGAGGAGACAAAAGGAAAAGGAATAAAAAACAATGAAGCACACCTATAGGATCTAGAAAATAGCATTGAAATGGTAAATCTAAAAGTTATTGGCCTTAAAGAGAGAGTAGAGAAAAAGACAGCAGTAGAAACTTCATTCAAAGGGATAATAAAAGAGAACAAACCTAAAGAAAGATATAAATATTTTTTTTAGCTGCACTGAAGCAGAAGCTTTATTTTTATTATTATTATTATTATACTTTAAGTTTTAGGGTACATGTGCACAGCGTGCAGGCTTGTTACATATATATACATGTGCCATGTTGGTGTGCTGCACAGAAGATATAAATATTTAAGTACAAAAAGGTTATAGAACACCAAGCAGATTTAACCCAAAGAAGACTACCTCAAGGCCTTTAATAATCAACCTCCCGGCTGGGTGTGGTGGCTCGTGCCTGTAATCCCAGCACTTTGGGAGGCCAAAGTGGGCAGATCACCTGAGGTCGGGAGTTCGAGACCAGCCTGACCAACATGGAGAAACCCCGTCTCTACTAAAAATACAAAATTAGCCAGGCGTGGTGGCACATGCCTGTAATCCGAACTACTCGGGAGACTGAGGCAGGAGAATTGCTTGAACCCGGGAGGCGGAGGTTGCATTGAGCTGAGATTGCGCCATTGCACTCCAGCCTGGGCAACAAGAGCAAAACTCAGTCTTAAAAAAAAAAAAAAATCAAACTCCAAAAGGTCAAGGATAAAGAAAGTATCCTAAATGTAGCAAGATAAAATATATAAATATCATACAATGAAGCTCTAATACATCTGGCAGCAGACTTTTTAATGGAAACTTTACAGGTCAGGAGAGAGTGGCATGATATATTTAAAGTGTTAAAGAAAAAAAGTACTTAGTTTCAAATGGTATATCTGCTGATAACATTGTTCAAACATGAAGGAGAAATAAAGACTTTCCCATACAAACAACAGCTAAGGAATTTCATCAATACCAGACCTATCCTACAAGAAATGCTAACGGTAGTATTTCAATCAGAAAAAAGGATGTTAATGAGCAGGGAGAAATTATCTAAAAGTACAAAACAAATTCAATGTCCCTTCAGAATAAAACTTCTCAAAAAACTGCTTATAGAATGAACATATGTCAACTTAATAAAAGCTAAATACAACAGACTCACTACTAGTATTATACTAAATAGGGAAAATATAAAAATTTTTTCTCTACAATTGGGAACATATCAAGGATGCCCACTTTCACCACTGTTATTCAACATAGCTAGAAGTCCTGGCTAGTGTAATCAGACAAAAAAAAAGAAATAAAGGGCATCCAAATTGAAAAGGAAAAAGTCAAAGTATCCTTGTTTGCAGACGATATGATCTTATATTTGAAAAAAACTAAAGACTACACAAAAATACTATTAGAACTGATAAATTCAGTAAAGTTACAAGATACAAAATCAACATACAAAAATCAGTAGCATTTCTATATGTCAAGAGTGAACAATCTGAAAAAGACATTAAAAGGTAATCTCATTTACGATAGCTACACATAAAATTAAATAAAATTAAATACCTAACAATTAACTTAACCAAGGAAGTCAAAGACCTCTATAATAAAAACTGTAAAACACTGATGAAATACCTTGAAGAGGACACATAAAAATGAAGATATTTCATGTTCATTGATTTCAAGAATTAATACTGTTAAAATGTCCATACTACCAAAAGCCATCTACAGACTAAATGCAATCCCTATCAAAATACTAAGGATATTCTTCACAGAAAAAGAAAAAAAATCCTAAAATTTACATGAAAGCACAAAAGACACACAATAGCCAAAGCTATCCTAAACAAAAAGCAGAAAACTGAAAAATCACATTACCTTACTTCAAATTGTACTATAGAGTTATAGCAACCAAAACAGGGTGTTACTCTCATAAAAACACACAGACCAATACAGCAAAATAGAAAACCCAGAAACAAATCCACACACCTACAGTGAACTCATTTCTGACAAAGGTTCCAAGAGCATACACTGGGAAAAACACAGTCTATTCAATTAATGGTGCTTGGAAATTAGAAATCCATGAGCAAAGGAATGAAACTAGACCCCCTTTGCCATATATAAAATCATACGAAAAGGGATTAGAGATTTAAATCTAAGATCTCAAACTATGAAACTACTAGAAGGAAGCTTTGAGGAAAATCTCCAGGACATTGGTCTGGTCAATTTTTTTTTAGCAATAACCTACAAGTAAGGGCAAGGAAAGTAGAAACGACAAATGGGATCACATCAAGTTAAAAAGCTTCTGTAAACAAATAAAAAATCAACAAAGTGAAGAGACATTCCAGAGAATGAGAGAGAATGTTTGCAAATTTACTGTCTGACAAGGGATTATTAACCAGAATATGTAATAAGCTCAAACAACTCTATTGAAAAAAATCAAATAATCTGATCAAAATATGGGCAAAATATTTGAATAGATACTTCTCGAAGACATACAAATGACAAATGGGCATATGAAAAGGTGCTCAACATCATAAATCATCAGAGAAATGCAAATCAAAACTATAATGAGATATCATCTCACCCCAGTTAAAATGGCTTATATCCAAAGAAAGGCAGTAACAAATGATAGTGAGGATGTGGAGAAAAGGGAGCCCCTGTCTACTGTTGACAGGAATGTACATAAGTAAAATCACTATGGAGAACAGTTTGGAGGTTCCTCCAAAAACCAAAAATTGAGATACCAGTATGATTAAGCAGTCCCACTGCTGGGTATATACCCAAAAGAAAGAAAATCACTATATTACAGAGATATTTGCCCTCCCTTGTTTACTGCAGCACTGTTCACAATATCTAATATTTGGAATCAACCTAAATATCCATCAACAGACGAGTGGATAAAGAAAATATGGTACATATACACAATGGAGTACTATTCAATGATAAAAAGAATGATATCCTGTCATTTGCAACAACATGGATTGAAGTGGAGATCATTATGTTAAGTGAAATAAGCCAGGCACATAAAGAGAAACATTGAATGTTCTCACTTATTTGTGGAATCTAAAAATCAAAACAATTGAACTCTGGACATAGAGAATCGAAGGATGATTATAAGAGGCAGGAAAGGGTACTGGGGGGTTGAGGGGGAGGTGGGGAAAGTTAATTGATACAAAAAGTAGAAAAAATGGATAAGACTTACTGTTTGCTAGCCCAGCAGGGTGACTACAGTAAATAATAACTTCATTGTACATTTAAAATAACTTAATTGTACATTTTAAAATAATAGAATGTTATTGGATTGTTTGTAACACAAAGAATACATGCTTGAGTGGATGGATACTCCATTCTTTACAATGTGATTATGTTGCATGCCTGTATCAAAACATCTAATGGACCTCATAAATACATACACATACTATGTACACACAAGAATTAACAATAAAAAAAACGTAATTGAGTACTTCAGTAATAGAATACATCTAGCAGTATAAAGGATTTCTGAAATTAAAGATAGGTATTTTGAAATAACAGTCAGAAAAAGAAGAAAGAATAATAAATTAAAAAGATAAAAAAAGCCTATGAGACATATAAAAAAACATAAAGCAACCAAATATTAGTTTTAGAAATTCCAGGGAAAAAGATGGGCAAAGGCATAGAAAATTATTTCATCAAGAGAATAGCAAAAACATTGCAACTCTCCACAGGAAGCTCAAAATCTCTAAATAGATTCATCTCAGTAAAGTTTTCTCCAAAGCAAATTAAAATCAAAATGCCAAAATTCAAAGACAATGAGAGGATTCTAAAAGCTACAAGACATAAGAAACAAGTCACATATAAGGGAATCCATATTAGACCATGAGCAGATTTCTCAGCAGAAGTCTTACAGGCCAGGAGAGAATGTGTAATATATTTAAAGTGCTGAAAGAAAAAGTGTCAGCCAAGTATAATATACCTAGCAAAGATGTCCTTAAAATGGAAGGATATGTATAGTCTCTCCCAGACTAGCAAAAAATGAGGAAGCTCATCACCACTAGACTGGTGCTAAAATATGCTTTAAGAGCCCTAAACCTGGAAGTAAAAGGGCAATATCCACCATAATGAAAACACATGAAAATATAAAACTCACTGGTAAAGCAGATGCACAAATGAAAACAAGAAAGAATTGAAAAGTTACCATTACAGAAAGCCAACAAACATAACTATAAACAATAATAGAGAAACGATTATTCCTTATTGAATAGAGAAAGAAATAAAGGACATTCAAAACAACCAGAAAACAATCAACACAATGATAATTATAAATTCTTACCTATCAATAATAATAGTGAATGTAAATGGATTAAATTTCCCACCTAAAAGACACACATTGGCTGAATAGATTACAAAAACATGACTGAAGTATATGATGTCTACAAGCAAGCCACTTCATCTGTAAAGACACAGAATAAACGTAAAAGATTGGAAAAAGACAGCCCTCACAAACAGAAATCCAATGTGTGCAAGAGTAGCCACACTAACATAAAATAAAACAGATTTAAAGTAAAAAATGATAAACAGAGACAAAGGTGGTTACTATATAACGATAAAGGGATCACTTCAGCAAGAGTATATAATGATTGTAAATATATATTCACTGAACACCAGAACACCCAAATATATAAAGCAACTTTTATTAGATCAAATGTGAGAGGAAACTCCAATATGAAAATAGAGGGACACTTCAACATCCCAATCTCAGCATATGACATATCATCTAGATCTAGACAAAAATAAATGACCAAAAAACATTAAATTGCATTTTGGAGTATATGAACTCAACAAATATTTACAGAACATTTTATACAACAGCTGCAAGGTACACATTCTTCTCATCAGCACATGGAACATTCTTTAGGATAGATCACATGGTAGAACACAAAATAAGTCTCAGGATTTTTTTTTAATTGAAATCATGTCATGTACCTTAGACCACAAAAGAATAAAACTAGAAATCAAAAATAAGAGGTACATTGGAACCTGCATGAAATTAAATAACCAGATCTTAAATGACCATTGTATTCATAAAGAAATTAAGAAGAAAATTTTTAAATTTCTTGAAATAAATAATAATGGAAATATAATATACCAAAACCTATGAAATAGAGCAAAAGCAGTGGCAAGAGAAAAGTTTATATAAATGCCTACATCATAAAAGTAGAAATATTACAAATAAAACTCAAGAAAATAGAAAAGTAAGAACAAACCAAAATCAAAATTAGTAGGAATTCAATAATAAAGGTCAGAGCAAAACTAAACAAAATAGGGACAAAGAACAATACAAAAGATCAATGGAACAAAACTTTGTTTTTTTGAAATGATTCACAAAATTGCTAGAATACTAGATAGCTTAACCATAAAAAAAGAAAAAAGAAAACGTCCAAATAAATAAAATTACATATATAAAGGAGATATTTTAACAGATCCTACATTTAAAAAATTTAAAAATTATAAATGACTATGTTTAAAGTTAGATAAAATCCAGAGAAAATATATACATTCCCAGAAACATATAGTCTACCATGACTGAACTGTGAATAATTAGAAAACCTGAGCAAACCAATAGTGACTAATAAGACTGAATCAGTAATAAAAAAGCTCCAAACAATGAAAAGCCTAGGGACAGACAGATTTACAGCTGAATTCTACCAAACTCATAAAAAAGAACGAAAACCATTTTTTTTTTCTCAAAGTGTTTCAAGAAACTGAATAGGTGGAAAATGTTCTTAATCCATTGTACCAGGCCATAATTTCTTTGATATAAAAGCCAAGTAAGGATGCAAGAAACCAAAAACTATAGGCTAATAACCCTGATAAACATAGATGCAAAAATATCCAACAAAATACCACTAACGTGAAGCCAACAACAAATCAAAAAGATAATACAGGTGAATCTAGCAAAGATGGCAGATAGAAGACAGGGCTAACATGCAGCTACCACTTAGATAGACAGAACAGTGTGTAGAGACTCACACCATGAACTTTTGCTCCAAGAACCATCACAGAAATGTACCAGAAAACTGAAATAATTTACAGGTCCTTTTAAAGAAGTGGCACACTATTGCAAATTCCATGAGACAAGTGAAAAACTGTGAGTTCCCAAAGTGTGAAAGGGAGAAAGCCTACCTTCAAACACATATCCCCACTAGGGAATCTGAAAATCCAGATCATGGGAAAAGGATTTAACCTTACCTATAGCTGAAACAGATTTAGGGAGTTGCACAAAATACAAAAGTAGAAACAGAAGCAAGAAGAGACTTGTAGGCACTTCCAGTCTCCAGCTCGTTCCCAGGGAAGCCATCCCAGACTATATCTCACAGAGGCCCTTGGGGAAGGCAGCCAGCAGGATTAGGGAGGGGTCACAGTGTGAAAGACGCTTCGAACTAAATTCGTAATAATTTCAACTGGGCATAAATTTTCTTGAGCAGAATCCAGGGGGCAAATGAGAACTGATGCAGATACGAGTACAGGGAGACACAGCAAATACTGCGGGTAGATGAGATAGGGGGAGGCCTGAAAGGCAAGCTTGCTTTCTCAACAGGGAAGCTGATAGCTTGGGGCAAGATCTGAGCAGGGCACTGTGGGAACAAGACCACCTTGCCAACCGCGTGGAAGCTGAGTGAAGTTTTTTGCTACCAGCCATCCTGGACTTCTCTGGCAAATTATATAACACAGCAGAGGCAGCCATAATAATCTCCAGAGCATAACCCCATTGGCCTGAGAACCACATCCCCATCCTTCACAGTGGCCATAGCAAGCCCTTCCCAAGGAGAGTCTGAGCCCAGACCCACCTAAACCTGCCCCCAGCCGATGGTATTTCTCTACCCGCCCTGGTAGCCAAACACAAAAGACATAAACTCCTGGGAACTTTATGACCCCACCCACCACCTGAGAAACCAGAATACTTTCCCTGGCCAACTTAGGGCAAGCTTAGATCCTTCTGCTACCATTGTGGCTGGTGCTCTCTTGAAAGCACCACCTCCTGGTTGGAGGCCAGCTACCTCAGGCCATTACAGCAACTCATGACAGAATAACCCTGCTCACAGGGATGAAAAACAACAGCCAATTCCACTGCCTGCAACCTCTTGGCTACCTGAAGACACTCAAAAAGATATAAGGGTATAGATAATTTTAAAGCAAAGCAATTACCGTATCCTGAAATACCATGTGTTGTCTGTCCCAAAATGGATTTGTATGAGTAAAAGTGAGCATACACCTTTCACAGGGTGAAGGCATCATCTTGGTTCCCACTTCCTCTTCACCTTCACTATTTTCCTATTTTATAAAAGAAAGCCTTCCCTTTGACTAATTATATTAGAGTTGTCCAGTGGTTTAATACCTATAGGTTTAACAATTCAACAGTTTGCAAAATTACTGCTTATGTTAAGGAAATTAATTCCACCAGTGACTAGGTATCAAAGCATTTTGCAATTTGAGGGATTTCCAATTATTTGCTTACAACAAAATTGAAGAAGGCCTCATTTAGTTACAAAAAGTGGCCGGGCGCAGTGGCTCACGCCTGTAATCCCAGCACTTTCGGAGGCCGAGACGGGCGGATCATGAGGTCAGGAGATCGAGACCATCCTGGCTAACATGGTGAAACCCCATCTCTACTAAAAAATACAAAAAAAAAATTAGCTTGGCGTGATGGCAGGCGCCTGTAGTCCCAGCTACTCAGGAGGCTAAGGCAGGAGAATGGCGTGAACCTGGGAGGCAGACCTTGCAGTGAGCCGAGTTCATGCCACTGCACTCCAGCCTGGGCGACAGAGCGAGACTCCGTCTCAAAAAAAAAAAAAAAAAAAAGTACAAAGACTTGAGAAACATTGCTGTAACATCATAACTGTATTATCATCTATTTGTTTATGAAGAGGTTTACTCAGCACTTATCCCTATTAAATGAGAAAAAAAACAGAATATTGTGTTTTGACTCACTGTAGCAATAAGTAATATCTATCTACAGATACATAATAAGTCAATTGAAAAAACAAAAGCGTAACTCATCCATCTCATTTAGAAATAATTATAATAATTTTTATACTTTGGTTATTTCCCAAAATTGATGAAAGATGCATGTTGTTTTGACCTATTGTTTACTACTAAGAATTACAATTGGCAACCAAACAGAAGAAAATTTAGCATTTAGAGATTTATGGTAACTGAAAATTTACAAAATATAATTTCAATTTAGATACATATTATTTTGCTGAAGAAACTTAAGTTGCTTTGATCAATAAGAATTTTCAAATACAAAATGTATTATATTAAGTTTATGTGAAAGAAGTGCACTGTTTATATAATTACAAGGGGGAAAACAAATAATACGTAATTTCAGATTTTGAAATAAGAGTTTGTTTATTCATTATATTGTGTAACAGTTTGGTTGTATCAGATCATTATGGAATTTGGATGATCTGAGATATTTTAAGCAAATGTAACTGTTTTATTTAAAATGACAATGTATGCAATATGCCAAAAATTCTATCTTTTGCCACTTCTAGATAATAAAACTTAGATAATAAAAATATATGACATCATAAATGTGCAACATCTAAAATGTTCTTTAAAATTCTTTTAGAGAGGACATGAACAAAAGGTTCATGAAACTGAAATAGAGGGGTTGAGCCATCAAAGAAAAAAAGTGTGCCTCCATCTATGTTCCCATTATGTGAAGCGTTTGAAGTGCCATTAAAATACTTCAGCCTTTTCTGCTTGTATGTCTTCTGTTTTGCATAATATAATTCATTGTTCAGTATTCAATTTCAGGATATATTCAGCCCAGTGTGGAAACATGGAAATTTCTTTATTGTTAGCTTTTATGCATGGCCCAATATCACAGATAACACTAAACATAATAGAAATTATAAAAAGTTAAAATATAATAGGCATAGTGAATCTTACTGGAATATTTTTAAATGTAAATATCTTTCATTTAAAGAGATTAAACAAATGGCACTATACCTGTTATAATAGTATAACTTTAAAAATTTTCATGCATAAATAACTTGCATGTGCTATGCTGTTTATGTGCATCTCTGTGAATCTATGTATGCATGGGTGTGTGTATGTGTACATGTGCCTGCCTATATTATTTATTTTATCTACCCAATAAAATAATAACAATTGAAGATTTGTTTTATTACTTGTAAAGTTTCTGAAATTACTCATATTTTTTGAGATTTATAATTGAAATTGAATGCAATACTCCAAACCTGTATTTTAAATTTGACAATTTACTATATTTCAAGTTAGTTTTAAAAATACTACGTGCTCATGTTAAAGAGAATGATATACATTTCTTATTTATGTTGTACATTCACTTCAAGATTCCATCATCTTTAGTACATATCTGTACAACTGATTCTTATTCCAATGTGTCTATAAGAAGGTAGCAAGATTTAGAATAGCTCACTATTAACATATAAAACTTCCTCAGAAATTACATCTAAGTCATTCGTTTATTTTCATTCATTCCTTTTAAACCAATTCAAAACTTTCTAAATTAAGTCAATCTTAAACATTTTAGCTTTTAGATTATCTAGATCTATTAACATAAGTTCAACATTTTTCTTATACTAAGTAAAACTATAAAATTATTTGGCAAATAATTTATATTACATTTGTTAATTGCTTCTGTTTTATTTGTGTATCTTTAATTTACCCAGATGGAAATAATTTTTTTACCTCTTGTTTCATTGGCATGGAAAACCCTACCACCATGACTTTTGTCCAAATGTAACTGAGTTCATATGCTATCTCCTCCTTCAAACTTCCCTTGAAGCTTTCCTCCCCCAAACCACACCACAGCTGAAAATAATACTTCCTCTAAATTCTACAATTGAAAATATTTTTCTCTAAACTCCCAAAGCTCTAATTTTTACTTTTTATTATAGGATTATAAGGATTATAATATTTAGAACTAAATTCCATATATTAGTCTACAAGTTTTTGAAGACAGAATGAATGTTGAGCTAATTTGCATCCCCAACAGGCCCACAGTGCAATGTGATGTACTATGACACTAAAGAATTATCCAATAGATTAGTAAAAATTAATAGATGGAAGAATGATTCCATTCCTGTTAAATTTTAATGGTCCCCAATATTTTTCCAGTTGCAAATGCTAATTATAATAATATGTGCTCATTATATTTTCTATTTCAAAGAATGAATACTTAATTTCTAATTTTTTGATTAAGATACAAAACTTACCTCCCATATTGTTTGCCAGCAATTGTTTCAGGCCTGATCCAGAGCCAGTCAAATTTACAGAGAAAATAAAACAGCAACTTTCCTACTTTCCATAAAACTTTCATTAGTTATTGTCATCCCTTAGGAATTCCCAAGTATTCATTCTTTCTAGCTTCATTAAAAAAATTCTACTTCATAAAAACTAAAATGTTTACTTTTTAAATAAAATTGTACTTATACATAATAGATGTACATGTGTTTGAGGTACACGTGAAAATTTGATATATCCATATGATCAAGTGGGTGTAATTTGTATATCCATGACCTTAAACATTTATATATTTGTATTCCAGAAACATTTGAATTATTTTCTTCTATTTTGAAATGTACAATAGATTAATGTTAATTATAATCACCTACTGATCTATCAAACTAAAGATCTTATATTTTCTATCTAACTATATATTTGTACCCATTAATCAACTTTGCTTCATCACCCCTCCAGTAAGTTTACCAAATAATTAATCTACAACTATAAATGTTCAGGCAACAACAATAAAAAATGACATTATTATTACTAATAGAATTAGTAAAAGTTTACCATTCATAAAGCATTATATGTTTTACTAAAATTATAGCATTTAATGGTCATAGCAATCCTAAGCACTATTACCATCTCCATTTACTGTAAAGAAACAAACTCACAATGCTAAAGCCTTCTCTATTATTTCTCTGGTTTTCTTGACAATAAATTTTCCTTATATTATTCTGGTCTTCTGCTACACTTCTTTGCCTCTCAACAGTGGCTAATTGAATTGTCAGATATACCTTGGTCCAAATCTATGAATTTGGTGATGTTAATGTATTGAAATTCCTAAACTTTGAAAATTTGCACTCTACTCTCCTTCTCAACCCCCTCCTGCAGTGAAAGGCAACAATTCTGTGCAAGTCTTTCCTGAAGACTCAAGCTTTGCCTGCAGTAGACTGTGCCAATATCTAAATTGGTGGGGTCAGGAGTATCATGAAGCTCATTATTGCCACATATCTAATTCATATTCTCCAGCCCAGGTTTTATCAGCAATTAAACTGATATATTGTTTTCTATGTGCAGAACTCTGGTGACTTTTTCGATTATTGTTATTTATAGATGGCCATAAAACTACAAAGGTTGTAAATATGAAGTGTTAGAATCATGACTCAAACCCAAAGAATCTGAGCCCAAAGACCATGCCCTTCCTGGGCTTGTACTTTTAAGGATATTATCTTATAAGGTAAGAAGGTGGAAAAAGAAACCTGAAGTTTCATCATGGCTTTTTCACTGTGGATGCATTACCATGAGAAGTTTCTATTGGACTTTTTTCTTGAATACACTACATCTTAAAACATTCTACTTTAAAAAAACATATTCTATATTGTTTTGATTTTAAATGTAGAAAAAAACAAATAAAAAAATAAAAGGAGGTAGGAAATCTTCCAAATGTCTAAAAAGATGTTAAAATATTTTTAAAATTACCACTTAGCTTCTATGTCAACTAGGACAATCTAAAATACTAAGAAATAAAGACCGCCAAATATATAGATGTACACTGGACTAAACTAGAAGTTTATTTCATGCACTCATCAGAGGTGAATAGCTGATTGGCTCTCCTCACTAAGATGCAATGAACAAGGCTCTCTGCATCTTATCTCTACCATTATCTAAGTCAGTGCCCTTCAATAACAGATTTTGCAATAATGACAATATAACCTTTATATTTTTGAAATGTGGCTAGTGTAAATGAGAAACTTAATTTTAAATTGTATTAAATTTTAATTATTTTAGATTGAAATAGTCACATGTGGCTAATGGCCACCATATAAAACAGTACAGCTCATAGGCCTTATCATTTTAAATATACAGCAAATCAATGAAGAGAAACAGGAAAAAAGGTGGCACATTTATATTTTCAAAGTCTTGATCCAAAAGTGGCACTCACTATGTTCACCTACATTCCATTGATGAAAACTAATCATATGTTCATAACTATATGGGTGCATGCAAATATGAACTTTTCCTGGCCAGCTGCTACTCACTTATAGTTGTATACTATGAAGATGAAATGTATTTTACTGATCAAGGGAAATCTCTATTACACCTCACAAAAAATAATTTATAGATTTTAAAAAATGTTAACATTTAAATAAAGTAGAAACTTAGAAGTAGGGAATTAGAAGAATGACAAAGTAATGGCTGGTGATGGCCATGGGGTTTCTCTACATTTCTGGTCTACTAAATAAGAAAAAGAAAATATATGAGAAGCGAGAATTGGTTAAAAAGCTCAAAATGGAGATGACATCTAGGATTTTCTGGAGCTCATTATGGATCCCCTAAGGCAAAATAATCACATTTCTGTAATAAGCTACAAACAGATGGTTGGAGACAATTGATGTTACCAAATCCACTAAGTATTCATGAAGTTGCAGAACTGATAGAAGTTGTACTTAAGTAAAAGGACCCAGTTGTATCAATATTCCTTTTCATAACAGTATAAAAAGTAGATGTTTTCACAAAGAAAGAAGAAACAGCAGAGGCAGAAGAAAAAGCATCAAAAAAGTTTTAAAGACATATTTAAAATAAGAAGACTGAATATTAGGATATTTGGTGATTTTTGGAACATTCACTAACTAGTAGACTAGCAAGGGATAATTTTCTTAACTTCTCTCAAGTAAATTTTATCTTCTGTAAAATTAAGGGTATTAATACAAATGCGGAGGGATTTCATCAACACCAAACCTATCCTACAAGAAATGCTAGAGGAAGTCCATCAATCAGAAAGTAAAAGACATTAATGAGCAATAAACAATCACCTGAAGGTATAAAACTCACTGATAAAAGTAAGTACACAGGAAAACATAGGATATTATTAACATTGTACCTGTGATGAGTAAACTACTCTTACCCTAAGTAGAAAGACTAAATAATCGACCAATGAAAAATAATGACCACAACAACTTTTCATGACATAGTACAATAGGATATAAACAGAAACAATAAAAAGTTAAGAAGCAGAGGGACAAAGTTAGGACATAGAGTTTTTACTAGTTTTCTTTTTGACTTTTTGTTTGTTTATGAAAATAACATAAGGTTTTTATCAGGTTAAATAATAGGTTACAAGATAATATGTGCAAGCCTCATGATAACCTCAAATAAACAAAGCATATAGTAAATACAAAAAAAAAACCAAAAAACAATACCATATTACCAGAGATAATTATTATCACTAGAGGAAGGTGGAAAGAAATGAAAAGAGGAAGAGAAGACCATAGAACAACTAGAAAACAACAATATGGCAGGAGTAAGTCCTTGCTTATCAACAATGGCATTGAATATAAATGAAATAAACTCTCCAATGACAAGGGATAGACTAGTTGAATGGATGAAAAAAAAAGGTCTCACTGAACTGTTGCCAAAAAGAAACACACTTCACTCATAAAGACACACTTAGACTGAAAATAAAGGGATGGAAAAAGATATTCCATGCCAATGGAAACCAAAAAAGAGCAGAAGTCGCTACACTTACATCAGACAAAATAGATTTCAAGGCAAAAACTATAAGAGACACAGAAGGCGACTATGTAAAGAAAATGGGTTAATTCAGCGGGAGAACATAACAATTTTTTTTCTTTTTTGAGACGGAGTCTCGCTCTGTTGCCCAGGCTGGAGTGCAGTGGCGCGATCTCGGCTCACTGCAAGCTCCGCCTCCCGGGTTCACGCCATTCTCCTGCCTCAGCCTCCCGAGTAGCTGGGACTACAGGTGCCCGCCACCATGCCTGGCTATTTTTTTGTATTTTTAGTAGAGACGGGGTTTCACCGTGTTATTCAGGATGGTCTCGATCTCCTGATCTCGTGATCCACCTGCCTCAGCCTCCCAAAGTGCTGGGATTACAGGTGTGAGCCACTGTGCCTGGCCTAACAATTTTAAATATATATGAACCCAATACTGGAGCATCCAGATATATAAAGCAAATACTATGAGAGCAAAAGAGAATGAGAAAACACAGAACAATAATAGCTGGAGACCCACACGCTACCTTCAGCATTGGACAGATCTTCTAGACAGAAAATCAATAAAGAAATATCAAACTTAATCTACGCTATAGATTAAATGGACCTAATAAATATTTACAGAGCATTTCATCCAAAAGCTGCAGAATATATATTCCTTTCCTCAGCACATGGATCATTCTCAATAACAGAGCAAATATTAATTCACAAAACAAGTCTTAAAACATTCAAAAAAATAAAATTATATCAAATATCTTCTCTGACCATAATAAAATAAAACAAGAAATTAATAACAAGAGGGATTTTGAAAACTATACAAATATATGAAAATTAAACAGTATGCTCCTGAATGACCAGTGGGTCGATGAAGAAATTGAGAAAAAACAGAGAAAAATTTCCTTAAACAAATGATAATAAAATAACAGCATACCAAAACCTATTGGATACAAAAAAAAAAAACTGTACTAAGAGGGAAGCTTTTATCTATAGGGACCTACATTTAAAAAGAGGAAAAACTTTTTAAGAACAATCTAATGATGCATCTTAATGAACTTAAAATCCAAGGTCAAACCAAAATCAAAATTATAGTAGTAGAAGAAAAGAAATAAAGATCAGAGCAGAAAGAAATAAAATTGAAATGAATAAAACAATAGAAAAGATCAATACAACAAATAGTTGTGGTTTTTCTTCTGAAAAGTTAAAAAAATTGACCAACCTTTAGCCAGACTAAGAAAAAAAGAAGTTCCAAATAAATAAAATCAGATATGAAAAAGGAGATATTACAACTGAAACTACAGAAATTCAAAGGATCATTAGTGGCTACTATGAGCAACTATATATCAATAAATTGGAAAACCTAGAAGAAATGGACAAATACCTAAATACATATAACCTACCAACGTTGAACCAGGAAGAAATCCAAAACCTGAACAGATCAATAACAAGTAACGAGATTGATGTCATAATAAAAATTCTCCAAATAAAGGAAAGCCTGGAGCCTGTTGGCTTTACTGCTGAATTATAACTAATATTTAAAGAAGAAATACTACCAATCCTACTCACGCTCTTCCGAAAAATGTAGGCAGTGAGATTACTTCCAAACTTACAAAACAAGGCCAGCATTACCCTCCAAACATCAAAAAAAAAAAAAAGAAAGAAAATTACAGGACAATATATCTCATGAATATTGATGCAAAAATCTTCAACAAAATACTGGCAAACAGAATTCAACAATACATTAGAAAGATTATTCATCATGATCAAGTGGGATTTATCCCTGGGATGAAGGAATGTTTCAACATGTGCAAATCAATGTATGTGATACACCATATCAATGGAACGAACTAAGGATAAAAACATATGACCATTTTAATGGATGTTGAAAAAATGAAAAAATTCAACATGTATTCACATTAAAAACGCTAAACGAACTGGACATAAAAGGAACATATGTCAACCCAAGAAAAGTCGTATATGACAGACCCACAGCTCGTATAACATTGAATGGGAAAAAAGTGAAAGCCTTTCTTCTAAGATATGGAACACAACAGGGGTGCTAACTGTCACCACTGTTATTCAGTACAGTACTGGAAATCCTTGCTAGAGGAATAAGACAAAAGAAAGATATAACCAACATCCAAATTGGAAAGGAAGAGATCAAATTATTCTGTTTGCAGATGATATAATCTTACATTTGGAAAAACCTCAAGACTTCAAAGGAAAACTATTAGAACTGATAGACAAATTCAGTAAAGTTGCAGGATAAAATATTAACATACAATATCAGTAGCATTTTCATATGCCAACAGTGAACAATGTGAAAAGAAAATAAAAAAGTAATCCCATTTACAATAGCCACACATAAAATTAAATACCTAGGAATGAGCTTAACCAAAGAAGTGAAAATTGCTATAATGAAAACTAGAAAACACTGATAAAAGAAATAATTGAAGAGGACACCAAACAATGGAAGGATATTCCACGTTTATGGATTAGAAGAATCAAAATTGTTAAAATGTCCATATTACCAAAAGCAAGCTACAGACTCAATGTAATCTCTATCAAAAT